>NC_000003.12:168857089-169008604 GCF_000001405.40 Homo sapiens
CCAAAGAGGATATGCTAGAAGTATGGGAAGGCTGGCTAGAGTTTTATGCCCAGGGGACCCTTGGAATATACCTCCTAAGGTTTGGCGCTGCTGAATAACCACTCTGATTTGTCAACTCTTTTGGTCAAGACACAGAACAGAGTTTCCAGGGCTGGGGATGGTAGTTGTGCCTCCCACATTTGTCTCTGGCTGTCGTCAGGGATATTTTTCACTTCAGGCCCTGCAAATACTCTCTGTGGGTTGAGGCAGGAACAGGTCTCCTGCTAGGGAACACAAGATAGTGGGAAAGCTGGTTGTCCACCTCAATCTCGCTTTTTCTAGTACAGTAGCCCTGAGTGGGGAGGGGGAATTTTCCACAGGCTTGGTGCCTGGCAGATTAGGAAAATGGTGTACCACATATAAAAGTCCAATTCTTTGCCATTTGAACAAAGACTTTTGATTCTCTGTAGCCCCAGGAGCTATTTCCTCATTTATTTATTTATGTGAGACAGGTTCTCACTTGGTCACCCAGGCTGGAGTGCAGTGGCACGAACTTGGCTCACTGCAACCTCTGCCTCCAGGGCTCAAACAATTCTCCCACCTTAGCCTCTCGAGTAGCTGGGACTACAGGTGTGCATCACCACACCTGGCAAATTTTTTGTATTTTTAGTAGAGACAAGTTTTCACCATGTTACCCAGGCTAGTCTCAAACTCCTGGGCTCAAATGATCTGCCCACCTTGGCCTCTCACAGTGCTGTTATTACAGGCTACAGCCACCGCACCTGACCTCCCTAGCACATTTAAATTTTGGGATGTTTCTAGTGATAATCTCAGTATTGTATATTTGTTTTGTTTTTTTGTGGGGAAAAGGGAAACAGGCTTGCTTCTGCTCCACCACTTTGGTGACATCTCCATTTTGTATTTTCAGATGACAGTTGACCATAGGTAACTGAAACCATAGAAAGCAAAACTGCAAATAAGGAGAGACTGCTGTACTCTTGGTAGGGATTAAAATGTAATATTTTTCTCATCTACTCAACAAATGTTATTAGGAATTTGGCCTTTTTAACTGGAGAGAACCAGACAGATACAACGAAGATTTCTGCGTGACTCCTGAGAAGGAAGAGTCCAGGCACCAGGACCCAAAATAAGTAATTGGATGACAATGTAATTAAGGTCAGAGTGGAATTTTCAGGGCTGGTGATGGTAGTCCTGCCCCTCCCCTTTGTCTCTGGCTGTCCTTAGGGGTATTTCTGTCTTCAGGCACTTTTTTTTTTATTATTTTGGTAAATTATTTTATTTCTTGCATGATGATTTGGAGGAACTATCTTCAAACCAGTACAAATATTTCATAAATAGCATGTGGCCATTTTCTAACCAATTGAGTAATTTGTTGCACAATAAGCCTCTTCACATCTTTCAGCAAGATATACATTGAATTTGAATAGTAAAGACATTACGCAATAAATTAGGACACAATTAAAATTTGCTTTAAATATTTCTTTGGGGGAGAGGACACCACACTTCCACTCAATGAAAAGAAACACTTTTGCAGTCCAGAGGTCTTTTACTTTTCTATACCTATTTGCCATGAATCCATAGCGACTGGGTTCCGGCAGCTCAGGCTCCTTCTCACTGGTTCTCCCAAAGTGTGCATCTCTGGGTGGAGCAGGCTGGCACTTCTCTTGAACCCAGGTGACTTTCTCTTTGGCTTTCTTCTTTTCTGATCATTTTCCTTCACAAGTTTCAGGAAGCTGCCTCAGCCCTTAAAGTGCTTAATATGCTCAATATGAACAATAATTCTCCTGACAAGAACCTTGCCCATAACTTGTTTGCTTACAACAGTGCCAACAGCATGCTGTGTAACATTGTAGACCCTCCCAGTTTTGCCTTCGTAACACTTGTAGGACATTCCTTTTTGATCAGTATTCATTCCCTGGATGTCTACAATATCACCTTTCTTATAAACTCTCATGTACATGTCCAAAGGAACAGCTCCATGTTTTCTAAAAGGCCTAGAGAACACGTATCAAGTGCCTCTCCTCTTTCCCTTTGTGTTCATTTTGGTGAATTACTAGAAAATGGCAGTTCTGGCCCAAAGGAAGCCAGGCGCTTTCATTGTTCCCTGTTGGTTGAGACAGAGACAGCATTGAAAGGGAACCCTGCCAGGGAACACAAGATGGTGGGCTGTCCACCTCGATCTCACTTTTTTCAGTGTAAAATCCCTGACCGAGGGGAAATTTTCCATAGACTCAGTGAAAAAAAAAACTGCTTACACTGAGGGAAAAATAAACAAGTAATCTGTCCCAACAGATCTAAAATGACTACATAGAGTAGTTAATATTTGAACCGGGTCTCCTAGAACTAATAGGCACTTATCTGGAGCAGGAAGAGGAGATAAGATGTGAACACATCAAAACCTGTTTTCTTGTGGCTACAGTATCTGCCAACCATTGTATCTTTGAAGCCTAGCACAGAACCCCTATAATGAATTCAATAACTATTATTTGAATTCAAGAATAAATGAGAGAAATAATGACTTGAATGTATGTAGGGCAGCATGAGCCATAGAAGAAATAAGATAAGACAAGAAAGATTAGTTAGGAGAAGACACTTTGAAGACCACACTATAAAAATTGAATTTTATTCTGTACATTAGTGGGATCTCTTGCATCAGGATGTATTGAAGTACTTTTTCAAAATGCGGTTTCCTGAATTTCACCACAGATTAACAGAATCAGATCTCTTGGGGACTGAATCAAGGAATCAGCATCTTCTGCACTCTGTGAAAGCTACTTCTGGAAGCAGTGCCCAATTTTTAAAATGTTAGTTTTGAGTTTGGGGGAGGGCTAAATATCTTAAGGGATCTGTTGAAAGCTAGGGAAATTCTTCCTATAAAAACGTATATACACATTCATTTTTACTAACAATTTCAGAGAGATCATGAAACCCCTGAGATTAACCTATGGACTCAGGTTAATAGCCTCAGAAACCAAGCTGGCTAACATTTGGCTTAGGAAAATCAGGTATGAACAATTGTAACTAAGAGTTATAGTGAAAAGGCCTTTAGGTGAAGCTGAAGAATATAGACAGTTTCCTCTAAACAACTGGTCTTTTGTAGAGGACCAACCTAATCTCATCCTGTCAATATTTACTATAAAAGAGACGTTCACATGTGAAAAGAGAAGAATTTATGCTGGGAGCCAGGAAGCTTCTAGGTCATTTCCGTCTTAAGTAAAGCATTTCATGAAAAATTGGAATGTTTCAAACTGAAAAAACGTACTTATTGAGCATTTAGAAACTGATTTTTTTTGCTCTGTTTCAAATAACGAAGTTGTTGCAAGTCTAGAAAATGTCCAAGTGAACTGTTTATGTAATTAATGCTTCAAAAATTTAGATTATATCTAGAAATCTTGGTCTCTTTCCGATAATCTAGCATTTGGGAACCATGGTGTGGTTCTATTTCCACAAAAATTAAGACCTCTATCTGCAAATAACAGCTAAATGGTCTATTGCTAGAGATATGTCACATGGAACAAGATAAAGTCTATGAAAACAGCCCTTTGAAAAAGTCATGGCTGAACTCTAATGACCTAAATTATTTAATGCAAACATTGTGTGTAACTTTGGAAATTTAGGGCAGCTCTCTCCCTGCCATAGTCAACTAAAACAAGCCTGTTTATGTGAAAGCAATGTGGAAACAGAGTTCGGAGGCACAACGTGCTATTCGTTGTACCTGGGGCGGAATCACTGAACTTCATCTAAACTTGGAGCTGACTCAAAAACCGGGTGAGAAGGAAAGAACTTGACACCAAGAGACAGAGACTGTGCTGGAATATGTGGGAGGGCTTCATGAACTGCAGAGCATTATATGGAGTTAAGAAGGTAACAGTGTATTCAGTTCACAACTTATAGTCTTGTTCTGTCGGCTTTTAATCACTGATTAATAAACAACATCATATTATAATTCTCAACCCACAACTTGTTTTTTCACTCAACATTGCTTTGGAATTTAGTTTGTATTTATATATGTTGACAATGTCCATTTCTTTTAAATGTGTAAATGCCCTGTTGTATGAATGAGCCAAAACTTTGCTTTCCATTCTAAAGGGAGATATAGGTTGTTTTTAATTGTCTAGTATGGCCAATAGCTTTTCAACAAACATCTCTCTGCATATCCCCTTGTGCACGTGTGGTAGGGTTTATTTAAGGTTTCTACCAGCCATGAATTTGCTGGGTCAAAGGATACTGCATTGTAAACTTTGTTAAATAACTTCAAATTGTTCTCCAAAGTAGGCAAATCAGTGAACGCTGTAGTTGCATTACTTTATTGTCTACCTTGTGTCAGCCTTCTCTAATTGCTAGTGAGCTTTTGCGTCTTTTCATACATTGTCTCTTCAAGTGTACTCTTCCATGAATTGCTGGTTAATATTCTGTGCCCATTTTTCTAGGTGCCAAATGCTAATCTTGGGATCAATTGGGATATACCTATGAGCAAAATAAAGAGCACTACTCTTAGAGTTTACCTTCTAGCAAGAGGAAATGTATTATGAAGAATAAACATAATAAACAAGTGCATTTTATAGCACAATAGAAGGTGATAAATACTACCGGAAAAAAGACAAAGTAGGACAGGGTAATGTGAAGGGGATTGGGGCCACAGAGTAGGCAAAACATTTTATTGTATTAAATAGGGTGGTCAAGGTGGGCCTCTTTGAGAAGGCAGGATTTGAGTCAAGATGAGGAAGTAAAGAACAGCAAGAGGTCAGTGAGTCAGAAGTGGAGACACAGAAGAGAAGAGCTATAGAGATGAAGTCAGAAAAGTAGAGGGGAAGGGTTGCTATATAGGGTCTTGGGGGCCATTGTAAAACTTGGCTTTTAGCTGAATGAAATGGGGGAACCACTGAAGGGCTATGAGCAGAGAAGTAACATGATCTGGCTTATCATGTTATTGGCTTATGTTATAAAAGAACCACTTACGGCCTGGCTTGGTGGCTCACGCCTGTAATTCCAGCACTTTGGGAGGCCGAGCCAGGTGGATCACGAGGTCAGGAGATCGAGACCATCCTGGCAAACATGGTGAAACCCCATCTCTACTAAAAATACAAAACAATTAGCTGGACATGTTGGTGTGTGCCTCTAGTCCCAGCTACTCGAGAGGCTGAGGCAGGAGAATCGCTTGAACCCAGGAGGCAAAGGTTGTAGTGAACCGAGATCATGCCATTTCACTCCAACCTGGGCAACAGAGAAAGACTACGTCTAAAAAAAAAAAAAAAAGGCTGCTCACATTAAATGCTGTTGTGCTATAGTTCTAGCTATAGTTCTATAGTTTCATAGTTTCTACATAATGAGAAACTTGGCTAAGTAATTTCTTCCTTTTGGAAAATCTATCCATTAATAGAACATCAGTAAAGGCTGGGAAACATTGTGGTTGAATTAAAAATTAAAATTTAGATCTTGTATAAGAAGGATGAGTTCTAACAGTGACTTTTATACTTTTTCTTCTGGCAGCTCTAGCTTCTTGTCTTTGACCTTTGTGCTTTAATTTACGTGCTTGTTAGGAATAAAGTTACTTATTGCTATTCTTGCCAGCTTTATGCCAGGGCCTGGGCCAGCTGTTGTTTAAACATTATCTCTAATGCCTGACAGCACAATGTGTGGTAAGTATTGTCATCTTTATTTTGCAGAGCTAGGATAGAAGCCAAATCTCACCAAGTCCCTTATTTTTCCATTATACTATGGTACACACTGTGTATGGTAAGGCTGTCATAGAATGTCTTTAACTAGATGGCACTGAGGTTTAAAATAATATGTTTCAACAAGTTGGTACTGAATAATGCTTAAGACCACCATAAAAATTGTTAAAGAGTAACTGTCTTAATATATATGATTCTCTAATCTAGCTTTTATCTTTTTTGAAGCTTGCATCTAACAAAACCTGCTTTACCCCTTTCTTGTTTTGTTTGATACTAGAAACAAAATTTATGGAATGAATTTTGGGTATCCAAAAATATTTGTCCTACTTCTTTAGAAAAGTGTAAGTTTCAATCCAATGGAGTAATCTAATATGTGAACCTGTTATCAAAACCCGGTGTAAGTGACATGTTTCAAGTGTTTTAATAAACTCAAAAGTTTAAAGAAAAATAAATTTCTCCCCAATGTATAGTGAATAACAAGCTATGTTTTGTTTTCTTCAACCTGAGTTGAGAATACGCCACATAATGATAGATCTAGTCCCTTCACATATATTTGAACACACATAGTTCAAGACCCAAGTGGATTCTATCAGTTTTCAAATTAAGGCAAAAATTTATGTCTCCAAATTCAGGACTGTTCAAAGGCAGTCTTAGCCAAGAGACACCTCTGTTATTTTTTCCATGACTGTTTAAATTCCAAATAATAAGACTATATTTTTTTCTGAGCCTGGAAGTCTATGATAATTACACATTGTCTTTTGATACAGTTTATCTTTAAACAAACTTCAGACAGGTCAGAATAAATTGTTTTAATGTTAGATTGTAACAAATTGCTAGGCATATCATCATGTACTGCAAATAAATGTACACGTCCACGAAATAGGAAAAATTGGGCAGAGGTGAATTCAACCACCCAGCCATTTACATGAAATAGCATTACTCAATGCCATTTTTAACTTCCAGCTTTGTCTAGATGAGCTCATTCAAGTTCACCTCAGTTGGGTGAACTGAGGAATCTGGAGATTAAGATCCCATGCATGTGTGTGACTGGGTTCAGTTAGAATAACATTTTCTTCCTGCAGATCATTAATTAGAATGTTTTTAAAGGCAAAACAAAGCACACAAAACACAGTTTGCTGAAAATGATGTTAGTTTATTTACTTTGAAAAATCTACTTCTATAAATTCATATACTAAAAAATAAATTAAAAGATAAAAATGATGTCCTAATATATTTCCTATTGAGAAAGCAAAATAATTAGCAATCTTCATTAGTTGTCTAGAAAAATAATTTCCTCTTCAAGAAAGTTGCCTCTATTTGCTAAGCTGTTCTAACCAAATTTCCCTTTATCACACATGAAATTTAACTGGAAATACTAGTGGTCTGTTCTCACTTGATTTTTCTGCATAAGAGTTTAAAAGGCAGGGTTACTATGTAATCTAGTCTGGTAAATTCTTTTTTGCCTAGGCAAAAACACCAGTTTACTTGTTAAAGATGATGAAGAGTTAAGTCCAGAGTTCATATCACAATCTTATCCCATGACACTCCCTCCCCCTTTCACTTGATGAAAATATGCTCATGTGAAGTGAATTCTGAAACTGAATCCGCTGAACATGCTCAGCATTTGGTACCAGATTTGTACTGTGACATTCAAACTTCTGCCATGGCTATTGCAATGTAAATAGGAAATTCTAAATGTGATTTGAATTGCCCTTTGGGGAGTTTTACAATGAGAGACGGTACATTTCCAAGGTAGCCCATAGTTAATATGGAGCAAGTCACAGTGGTCGGGTTGGAGACTGTTCTGCTTCGGAGCACAGGTTGACAGGAAACTCTGCACGCCTTCAACCGGACCGAGGGAATTCGGCGGTTGACATAGCCATGTATAGTTCTGAAATATTTTCTCTTGTTAGAAATGTTTTAAATTAGCCCATGAAAATAAGCACCTTTATTATTCACATACAGTGATTCAGTTTGGAGGTGACAGCTGTCTACATAGATCGTAGTGTAGAGATTGGCATAAGCAACGACTGTTTTTTAATTAGCAACAAGCTTTTGTAATTATTAGAGGTCAGCATTTCCTGTAATTGAATCATGTATGCTAGCAAATATACTCTCACAGCAAGCTGGTGTGCTCAGACCTTTCCCACGAAATGCAACTATTAGGTACCATCGTGTTGCACACAGAAAATGCATGGTAAGTTCGGATTGTACAAAGATATTTCCAAGATTCTGAAAGAACTACATTCAATGGCATTGAATTTTATATATGTTGTGATATTAAATGATATAAAATTCTAGTTCTTTCTACCTATAAATTTAGACGTTGAGACTTTTAAGAAAAGTGCATTGCTGAAGTTCTCCACAAGAGGGCCATAGCTCCCTCATTCTTTTAAATTTGGATTCAAGCTCAAAAAAAAAAGTAAATGCTATTATTTTCTCCTCAAACTTGTTGTTTCATGTATCTTATATATATCATAAATATGTGATAATAAGAATAATTTGAAAAAATGATGGATGCATAAGTGTGTACAGTGAAAGATTCCCTGCTGGTTTCCCCCTCCCCCCTCAAACATAACCACCTTTAAAGTGTGCTGGGGTTCTTTCCACATTTAAGCTTATCATGTATTTTTTATTTTACACAATGTGATTGCACTAAAGATTTATTTTATGTTTTGCTTCTTTGTTTATTCACTAAACCATACATTTAGGCATCTTTCTATTATCAGTCTACACAGACCTGCCTTTTCTTGTATATGGTTTCAGAGTATTATTTTGTATGTCTCTAAAATGTATTAATAAATCCCCTACAGATAAATATTTAGACTATTTTTAGTCTTTTGCTATTAAAAACAATGCTGCAGTTAAAAATCTTGCATTTATTTCTTTGCACAGGTATAATTTCTCTGCATGTTAAATTCCCTAGCTGCATAATTATAAAGCTTGTTTACTTAAAACTGTGTCTATCCCCCTCAGAAAAGATGGTTTCACTGAATTACACTCACACCATATAGGTGTGAGAAGTACTTTTAGCTCTGACTCTGACAAATACTATGTACGTCAAACCTTGTAATCTTTGCCAGTCTATGAAAGGAAAAAAATAATATCTTGGCAGTAGTTAAAAGTTCTAGGTCTGTGATAACTTTCTCCAATTAATTATTTAACTATCCCAATTAAATTTTTTTTACTTTCAAAACTGTGTTTCACAAATTTTATCAAAGATGGAAGCAGAGTGACCAGAAAAGACATCACTGGGCAAACTGACCTGGCTTCCATAAACTAGTGAGAGTAAAACCAATGCTATATCTAAGTAAGTGCTTAGTAGTTGCTACAATAATTTTATATCATTTGAAAATTTTTGTTTATTATAAAAACTGTATAAAATACGGTGGTCAGACATTAGTATTCCTATCATACAAATTAGACTGAATATTTGGACAATGTTCTTTTTACTTCTTCGTTATTATGATCATCAATTTAAAGAACTTCAATAAAGAAACTTGAAGTTTCTTATCTAAATTTTACTTAACCTTCCAAGCCTGTTTTTTCCTTTCTCCTTAGAGAATGTCTATCACAATTTGCCCATTCTTTTCTTTTCATTCTAAGCTACAACACCCACCCTTTCCTCTCAGTTTTTAGCAAAGAACAAAATGCCCAGAATTGAAATGTCAAGTATTTTTTTCCTAACAAAATATTTTTATTACTAGATTAAATATACACCCAAAGTAGCAGATTGAAAATAATTACAACAGAAGCTGGCTAGTTTACTGAACCAGCTTTGTTCACTTTCCTTGGAGGAAAAACTGGTTATTTCAGTGATAGCCATATATATTATACATGACCTAAAACTATCCCATCAAGTGACAAGCCCATTTTGGAAAAGCGCAAAGCAGGCAAGGCATATCTACTGCCATTGCAACCATCCCCATATTTTTCCCATCTGAGTGCTTCTTTCCTCCTTTCCCCTGCCACCTAACTATGTTTAGTTTTGTCCCAGCAATCTAACTATGTTTAGTTTTGTCCCAGCAATCTCTACAGGGAGTGAAATATTCTGATTTTTCATATTAGTTGAATATATCTACTGAGGTGTGGAGGGTGCCTCAAAGGAGAGCTTCTCTTAAGGGAATACTTTAAGGAGTGGTGAGCAGGAGATGTGTTTTCAAGCACTGAATATTTCATAAGTGGTTTCTGTGCCTGCTTGCATGGACCATCTCTGGCTCTATGTAAATGCAAAATGCCAGATGTAGAAAAATAAGATAGTAAAGAAGTATTAGAGGTACTAGAGTAACACTGTCTTTTTGTTTGTTTGTTTTTATGTTATGGTTTGTGTTTTCTCTGGGTGTTTCGTTTGATTGTTTTTGTTTTATTTTGTTTTTGTCACTTATACTTCAAGCTTTAGAATAGTATGTTCTAAATCCACATTCCAGCTTTTGTGGATATGTGGATTTTGTTAGACTTTGGCTGGTGCTGAGGACACAGCCCCTCCTTCCTGTCTCCTAACCCAACCAGATAAGAATCAGTGTAACTTACATGCCTCAATCATTTCTTATTTTGAGATCTCTGAATTTTTAGGTTGTCCTATTTCCATTTTTTGTTATTAACTAAATTATTTGAGAAAAAGGAGATGAAATGAAGTGGGATTGTTATTATTAGCCGTCAATTTGTGAACTTCAAAATATGGCATTGCTACAAAAGGAAAATACATATGAACCAGGAAAAATGAGTTAGTTATATATATGGATATGGTTTTTGTTTGTGAGAAATGAGTTATGTATATGGGATGAATTCCTGAGTGTGAATGTTGTTATAAAAGTAATAATTTAATAAAAATGCATTTATACAAATCAGAAAGAAAAGAGACTTGTATAGATAAACCAGAATTTATTTCATCCTTGTGCTGTAGTTTTTGTGTTGAAAAATGTGATTTTGGATTAAAAGCTCCAGCTGTGCAGTAATGTCTTATCAGTTGTGTAGCAATGTCTTATCAGTTGTGTAAAATAACCTTTGGACTGAATATTTCTTAATCATTCTATATTCTCCATAACATATATTGTGCATAAAATTCTCCATGCTTCATGTTAGAGATGTAATGAATAATTTGACAGAGGGTCAAATGCTTTTAAACACGATTGACGAAACTATTTTTAAAAATTAAAGGTTTCCAAGTGGTTGAAAAGTATATGCCCAGAAGCCTAGAAACAGAGTTGGTTCATTTGCCAGATACTAAAAAAGTACACAGAAACAGGTTCTATATTAAAGGAAAAAGAGAGAGAGAAAGAAGCTGATTTGTTATTTTCCATTTTCAACTTGTTCAGGTGGATTTTTGTGGCTGGAATTGTCATCAAGTGTGTGACTGTCGCTCTATCTGAGGGGCTCCTCACTGCCTCCCTGCCTGGGCTGGAGTCAAAGACAGCAATAGAATAGACAGAGCAGTTCCACCTGATGAACATGGGGGTGTCACACTTGTAGGTTTCAACTCCTCCCATATTATCCAATAAATTCTTTAGTTAAAAATGAATACAATTCTGGTTAATGAACACACATTCAAATAAGAAGTTTCTTACATGCTATTCTAGTGTCAACTTGCAAAATATCTTCTTTAAAAACATCTTTACATTGATATTTTGGGAAAGAATCTGTATAGTTCCAATCGTTTAAATGACAGCCTCTACCTCATACCATGGAGTAGCTAATCAGTTCAATAATTCAAAAGAAAAAAATCAGACCAGTTAGGGTGGGCAAAATAATCAGATGAAAAATTGAAATTTTTATGTTTCAACCAGCGCTTTTGACAGCAGGTTGATAAGGTCACATAAGAGGTACATGAATGTATTGGCATCCTTAGTTGTGTTTGTATCCTGCTAGTATCCTTCGGTGCATGTGCATGCTGTTAGCATCCTCAGGTGTGCTTGAATGCCACGTTCTATTAAGTTGCATTCTCCAGAGGCACAAAGAAATGCCGATGTGCTTCTAAGTAACTAGCTTGTACAAATGTTTAAACACTTTAAATTTCACAAGAGCTTACACTTTGGCAAGCTATTAAAAGGGGAAATATCTGTAGTGTTTCTGGGACATATCATCTTCAGTTGGAAACATTGGATTATAAAGTATTTTGGGAAGAGCTTTCTGAAGGGCTTATTTGCTGTTTGTGTAGAAAAATATTTTTCTAGCATAATTTTCAATAATGTTTTACAAAACCATTACTTTTATAGAGACACCAAGAGTAATAATATTGAATCATCATGCACACAGACTCATAACAGAGTCCTACCCTCTCCCAGGTCTGAAGCAGAAAAGTAAATAACAAATACGACCTTCTAAAATATTGGAATCAGTGTTATCTTTTATCGATCTTAAACTTTTTCAACATTTAATTTTGATTTAGTTTGGTTTTAAAAACTGGATTTTATTCCAAGGCTGGAAGCTTTATGGTTTCATAATGTGATTTCTAAAGAATTTGGAGCGGGAGTGAATGTCTGGGAGCACCTCCAATCTGAATGCTATGATCAAATAGATGCCTATGGAAATAAAGATTCTACTGCAGCATCATGAACTGCATACATTTTGGACAGAGGCTTAAAAATACTTGATTATCATGCCTGTAATCCCAGCACTTTGGAAGACCAAGGCAGGCGGATCACCTGAGATCAGGAGTTTGAGACCAGCCTGACCAACATGGAGAAACCTTGTCTCTACTAAAAATACAAAATTAGCTGAGCATGGTGGCACATGCCTGTAATCCCAGCTACTTGGCAGGCTGAGGCAGGAGAATTGCTTGAACCCGAGAGGCGGAGGTTGCAGTGAGCCGAGATGGCGCCATTGCCCTCCAGCCTGGGCAACAAGAGCAAAACTCTGTCTCTAATAATAATAATAATAATAATAATAATAATAATAAGATAAAAATAAATTTGGAGGCTGAGGCGGGTGGATCACGAGATCAGGAGTTCGAGACCAGCCTGGGCAACATGGCGAAAACCCGTCTTTACTAAAAATACAAAAATTACCCAGGCATGGTGGCAGGTGCCTGTAATCCCAGCTACTCGGGAGGCTGAGGCAGGAGAACTGCTTGAACCTAGGAGGCGGAGGTTGCAGTGAGCCCAGATCGTGCCATTGTACTCCAGCCTGGGCAACAAGAGCAAGACTCCATCTCAAAAAATAATAATAATAATAAAAATAAAACTGGATTCATTACAAGAGGAATACAGGGACTTCTATGGACAGCAAGTGGTCTTACAAATTCAAGACAAAGCCTACAGCCTTGAGCATTATATACTCACATATACTTCATTTGAGTATATAATGAAGTGAATGCAATAAATATGAACAATTTAACAAACTTTTGCTCATATATTGGAAAAGTAAAAAGAAACCTCAAAACTGAATTTTATAAGCATTTCAAAAAATCATAAATGCATTTTAATTTCTACCTCTAGTTTCTAGCTAAAACTCAGTGGAAAAAGTAGAGTTGGTATCTTACACCAAAAGCAATAATGACCTGTTATTATTGAAACTTCCAAGTCTTTCTTTTCCTCAGTTATGGATCCACACTGCCTCAATTCAGTTCAACCAACATTTAAGGAAATTGCAGTCTAACTCATGACATGATGAAATTTAACGTAATTGTAAAATTTTTATTTGAAGATCATGTTTGGCCCGGCCTTAGCTCCTGCCTAACCAACTTCACTACACCGCTTTCACTTACCAAAATTGCTTGTCTTTTCCAGACCAAATTCTTTCCCCTTGTCTCACTGTTAGCGACCTTTTTGCTCCCACCCCTCTTATCTTGATCTAAATCTTGCAAGTAAACCCACTACAAAATATAAATAACTGATTTCATTTGGTTGCAGCAAGGAAGTTGAGACAATATTACTTACATTTCTGGATAGTTTCCCTTTTGTTGTTTCACTCATAATCAGAAAAACTTTGTTCCCAAGAACTATGCAATTAGCAAGCTCTCAGAATGACCCTATTTATTCATCAAACTATTTGAACCTATGGCAAAGTTTGTTCCTTCGTATTTTATTAAACTCAATTAAGTAATGGGGTCTTTTGTCATCAGTTTCAACTTCATCTTCCGAGGAAAACCCACTGCACTTTGCAGTTTGTAAGATGCCAACCATTCATTGCTTTGTGGTGTTGAAGGTAATTTGATTTATGTCTTGCTCCAGTTAAGATGCCCAGGTCTTTAAGCATTTTTGACTCAGAGTTAGAGACTAAGGTCAAGTTAACAATGGTAATCTGTCTCTCTGTTTGCAAACAATGAATCATCATTTGGATTTTAAGATTGTATGGTAAGCTTTGACTTGGCAGCTTGGTTCAAAGGTTGTCAGCAAAATGTATAACAGTGGCCTGTTTCTGGAACCTCTGATCATAGACGGCAAGGATTTTCTAACAAGGCCACCAATATAGTTGTGAATAATTGGTAAGAAGGGGGTGTGGTTAAAGAAACATTAGTCCCATGCCCAAGTTACACTGGATTGATTTGATCCAGACTTAATAATATTAAAAGCTTCTCTAGTCATTCCCGGGACACAAACGATAATGCTTTCAAATTATTAAGAAAGACTATGACTTATTCAGGACAATATGTAAAAAGAGACTGATAAAATGAAGTACATAGTTCATTTCAATTTCTTACTTTAGACCAAGTAAACTGCCACTAGGAAGGGAGAGAGCTTCATTGAGAGTTATAGTATTTTATTACTAATTGAATTGGAGTTTATTTTGAAGAGTTGGCAGTTAAAGTAGCTGAAGTTGAGATTAACAATTCATAAAAGTTAGGGGCCAATTTCCTCAAACATCTTGTTCTTATTCGTAAGGAATTCAGACAAAGAAGTGACTGAAATAAAGAAAACCCTGAGATCTGGTCAACTTTGAGCTTTTCCCACATAACCTTAGTACATATGGCATATTAATTATTGAATTAATATTTGCAAATTGAGTGAATGAATCTTTATAAAATACTTATGTGTGAATCTTTGTATCTTTCTTTAAAATACCAGTGTCAAGAAAAGGACATATGTTTTCACAAGCCGTGATCTGAAAGCATGATTCTATGATTTGAACTGACAAGAATCTACTTACTCTCCTGTGGTTATTTGATTGTATTGCATCATGCAAAGTAACATTAACTGGTACTTTTATAGTTCTATTTTTTTCCATTTATTTATCCATAGTGATAAAGAGGGGATAATACTCAAATGGCCAAACAGAACCTGCGCAGGTCAGAATTTGAGCTGGTCACTAATAAAGAAATTTCATTAGTATATTGGATTATCATTTGTTGACTTTCACTTGACCTTCATGATGATATAAAGAAATCTTTTTATTAAAGATTTATTTTATATGGATACTCAAAATTAACATTCCAGGACCATAGCAAAAAAGCAAGTGCCTCTCTCTGGTAGCAGCTCTGAAAAGAGGAGATAGTTACTATTAATTATGCTGCTTTTACCTCCCATATTCTGTAAGTATTCTAAATGTATTCTTGCATATACATTTAAGGGAGTATTAAGATTCTTGAGCTGAATCACAAACACTCAGGTATTTTGGATTCAAGGGCTTCTTTCCTACTAAGTAAGCACCTCCTCTTCCTGGCCCCTTCTTGTCTAATTAACATATTGCTCATTACCTAGTCTGTTTGGGTTCTAAATGGGTATTGCTAACACTTTCATTACATTTCGAAGGAGAATTCTTGCTTCAAGTATGACTGCTGCAATCTACTAACTCAGGGCATTGAACATGGGTGTTCCTTTTTTGTGTACAACTCCTGTCCTTTAAATTCCACATATCTTGAAGAAAGTCGTTCCTGGTGACATAGCATTTCAAACTTAATGCCTAATTGTTTCATAGAAAAGAAAATTATAGGATCTAATCTAACTTGTTAGTTACTATGGTTTTACATATAGCAGGACCAACTTGTTATATATGCATACGGAGTAGATTGTACCAGATTTCTGTTATTAGTGATGCTTTACTGATCATTTTTGTTTCAAAAATATTTTAATTTTAATACTAAATGGAGCCATGGAAATTACAGAAGGCAATATGGTCCTCAGAGATGAGGTAACATTTTTAGGGTAACACAGGCAAGAATCAATAACTCTCAGCCGTCTTTCTAGACCTCTTCTCACTGAACTATACTGATTCTTTGAAATGAAGTAAGGACATGGGTCATAGATCCTTCTGCAAGTGCCCATAAATCAATATTGTATGTTCATAGTCTCCTGTTAGTGTACTTGTAGTAATTTCTGGGACACAGTATCTTATCATGAGTGAGAATGCTGACTCTGATTGTATAAACTTTGGACCAATGACTTCACATTCGTTTCCTTACTTTCCTCTGTAAAATGAAAATAATAATAGTTGTTCCCTCAAGCGGTTGTTTTGGTCATCAAATGAGATAATACAAGCAGAGAGTTTAGAACAATGCCTGACACATAGTAGATACTCAGAAAATGTCAACTATTTTCATTGTGATCCTTTCCTCTAGTCTCCATGGCATTCATTTGTTAAACTGATATCTGGTCATTTTTACCTTCTATTTCTGCAAAGTTCTCTTTTACCCCTTCCTCCCTTGAGTTCATGCATTCTGAAAATTTGCTGAAGGTTAGTATCCTCACCACAGGTATTTTGACCATGCTACTTATTTTTGCCTTTTAGCAACTGGACAAAATACAAGAAAAAATGGAAAACATGCATGAATAAATTAACCCTTGGTTTTACTGGATGGGTATATATCTTCCAGGAGTATTCATATAATCTATTAGCATTATATTAAAATTTTAATATTTCAGAATTTAGATTCATTGTTCAGTTTTTGTCTGGAGCACTGATAGGGGAAACTATTGCTAGGTATTTATGGGCACTATCCACACATTGGGAGGATGGCAACTACCAAATTTCACAAATGAGACAGCAGCTGTCATCAGTGCCCTTGGGGATGCCATGCTAACAATAGTAAATAAGGTGCCCATTGCAAAAAGGAACATTATCACTTTGAATTCAGCACTGAAACACTATGAACATTTCCTTAGAGATTGTTCCCTAGATGAGCATATACTCAGAAAACAAGCCTAAAAGGAATGAACCAGGTAGAGCTTATTTTCAGGACCTGTCCTAGAGCCATGGCCTTAGGACCATCCCTCTTTTCTGATACACATGCTCATGTTGCTTCCCAACCTTCAGCCCCCAGAACATCCACAATCTGTATCTCTTACAATGCCTCTGCTCTGTCTTGTGCCTTCCCTATCCAGTGCTCCTACTTAAAAGGCAAGCTGAAAAAGCTTGTTTTTATAAACATAAGGAAGTCAACATGTTGATTCAGATGTGACTATTTGCTGTAGCCTTCTAAAGTCAATGTCTTAATATTTTTAATCTATTCATAACTAGAATGTGAGAATCTTAGGCCATTTTAGAAGAGCAAGGTCATATGGCAAGAATAAACAATGACAACAAACAATGGAATAAATATTTAGGAACAGATAGAGCCTCTCCTCTGGTTTCTTACACAATCTGTCATCAGTACTTTCCGTAACACCTCAAAAAGATCTTTTGGCATAGCTTCTGTCCCCATTCTTTTCAAGATATCTGGTTCTGCTTCATGTTGTCTCTTGCTGGAATGCTGGCAATGGCCCCAATTGGGCTATCATCCTCCAATCCAATATGCACATTGTCATCAGTCTGATCATGACATTCCTATGGCTACCTACGCACCTAAGATTAAGCCTTCAGCAAGGTGTTAAAAACCCGTCACTTTTAAGGAATCACACAACTCTCCAACATCAAACGTGTCCCTAAATCCTGTCCTCTAGCCATGAAGCAAATGTAATTATCACTTTGAATAAAACACTTTACTTATTTACACTGTTTCTTCTGACTGGTGAATTTCTATTCACTCTTCTAGCCCCAATTCTAATGCTACCATGTAAGGACACCCTGATTCCCTCCTGATGGTGTTGACTATTATTTAGGATGCTTTCATCCTTTTTACAAGTCTCTGTTAGTAGCACTTGTCAGATTGTTCTGTGTTAATTTTTCACGTATCTTCCTGAATCAGTCTATTGACACAGAGTGTCTCTCTCTTGCTGGGGGCTGGAGTGCAATGGCACGATCTCAGCTCACTGCAACCTCCACCTCCCAGGTTCCAGTGATTCCCCTGCCTCAGCGCCCCCGAGTAGCTGGGATTACAGGTGCCCACCACCATGCCCAGCTAATCTTTGTATTTTTAGCAGAGACAGGGTTTCGCCATGTTGGCCAGACTGATCTCGAACTCCTTATCTCAGGTGATCCACCATCTCAGCCTCCCAAAGTGCTGGGATTACAGATGTGAGCCACCGCGCCCAGCCACAACACTAATTTTATTCAATTTTATGTCATCAGCGTCAAGCACAGGACCGTGATCCATAGTAAATATTGAATAATTGTTTAATAAGCAAATGAACATGTAAACACACCATACAGGGAGCCAGTGTTCTGTCTTTTTATAGAGCAAGCTTTTTACACAATTATGTATATTGTACTAGAGAAGTTTGCCTGCTTGCCTGCCTGCCTCCCTTCTTTTCTTTCTTTTTTCTTTCCTTTCTCTATCCTCCAAGCATTGATTGAGTGCCTTCAGTATTTTAGGTTCTATGTAAGGTGTCAGATGCATTGAGAAAACTAAAACGTTGCCTCCCTCCTAGAAGTGTTCTCAATTTTAATGTGAAGGAAAACAGTAAAGTAATAATAAACTTTGGGTACCAATAGTTTCACAGGAACCCCCTCCATGGTTGTAATTGAACTGTTGAGTTGTCCTCTGCTCTCTAAAGGTCAACTTTTGAGATGAGCTTTGAGAGCAAATGGAGACCTCCTTATAGTGCCTTGATACATTAGCATGTGCAAAAACCATTGATAGAACCAATGTCTCAGTTGTTTCTGGAGAATAGTATCTGATGTTGAGGATAAAAAGTGCATTGTCCTGAAGGTCCACATGCCTGGGTTCTAGTTCTAGCTTTGCTACTAATTAGCTATGCCCTTGATTCAGTGATTCAATCTATTGCATATCTTATATCTGTAGATTGAGGGTGCTGGTCTAGACTCCAGATCAATGAATCTCAACTAACAGTTAAATTACAGGATTCAAAAACATGTATACATTAAATTTATATTTGACATAAATATACATTTATATTTATAGCTAATAAAAATAATTATCTATTGGACATTATTTATTGGATGACTAATTAGGAAACATAATTTTATATGTATGTGTGTGTATATATATATAAAACTGTTTCCTAATTAGCCATCTAGTATATATAGTGTATGTGTATATATATATACACACACACACACACACACAGTGTGTATGTATCTATAGTGTATAGCATATAGTGTGTATATATGTAGGTATGTATATATAGTGGATAGTGTATGTGTGTGTATATATATATATACACACACACAGAGACACATATATATGTATATATGTACAATTTCCACCAAAGAGTCACTAAGTTAGAATCACCCAGGGGAGGCCAGGCCATGCATTTTTAGCAAAAAGCTTGCCAGTGATTCCGAGAGACACTGGCCTGAGCTAAATCTATTTTCCATGATATCATGATATATTTGAGGTCTCTGGGCCTCTACTTCTGTCTGTCTGGCAGGCCCCCACCCTCATGGAGCTGTGGAGACTCTCATCCCACTCCAGTCTTTCTCCTTTAATAGGCTGTGAGAACTAGGAACATTGTTTCAAGAAACAATCAGATCAGTAGCTGACATCATAGGTCTTCCTGAAAGAAAGGAAAGAGATGCAGAGCAGAGATAAGACCAAAAAAGTCCCCAAATGCACATGGGCTGCTGGTAATCACAGCTAGCACTGAGGCTATCTGCAACTTCTTGAACTTTAAGAGGGACCCAGTCATTCTGGTGTCCTGACTCCCAAGTATTTATTCTCTGACTGAGGCATAAAGATCCGGGTGAGCTAATGCATCAACCGATGAAAAATGAACAATTAAAACAATGAAGTTGTCGGTTCTTTTACCAGATTGCAAATAAATAACCTGCCTGTCAGACTGGCTGCTCTGCTGGACCATTAGTTTAATACAAAGACATTCTGAGGAACGGGTGGATGACAGCTGATCTATCACCCCAGTGGTTCCAGGCCTTTGATAAAGACCTGAGCAAAAAATGCTGTCATAAACCACAAAAGGTCAATCCCAATTTGTGGGAAGCAAAGTATTAAATGAAATTTGAATACACCCCTCTGCCCATCATGAAAGCCATAGGCTTTTTTTTTTTTTTTTAACCGGCAGGGTGTTGGATAGTTCTTTTAACAAACCGAAACACTTTTCTTTCTGCATATGCTTATTTAGCTTGTTAGAGACATTGTGCTGGTATATATGGCCATGGAGTTTGTAATTGCCACAGTGGAGGGAATGTGATCTTAGACTCCACAATGTATCTTCTTGCCAGGCTGAACAGGGTCTTACTACAAGGTGGTAGTAAGACATTCCATGCCATGGCAAATACTAAAACAGTCCTAATTTAACAAAAAGTCAATTCATTGCACTTTCTTATATGTGCTATGTCTATATGCCATCGCATAAAATATTTGCCAGCTAGAAATATTGTTCATTGGCAATATTAGATAAAGCCATATATAAAATAATTCAATAAGGATATATTATTGAAATTCTCTAGTTAATATCTCATTTGTCTTTAAATTTGATGGAAAAGTAATCACCTTTCAGAAGTCACCTTGAAGAAAATAATTATTATTTCTCAGAAGCATAAAATACAATTATAAAATTTACCCTACAGTTTACAACTAGGCAAGGTGCAATATTTATGAAGATTAACTAATTTCTTTCTCTAGTTGACTTTGTCTCAACTTGAATCTTAGCAAAGCTGATCCTCAATTTTTATCGAAAATCAATGAAATTACTGAGAAGTCAACAAATCAAAACAATAAATTTTCCCCTTCCAATTTTTTGGGGTATTTACCTATATTTAGGTTATATCTTCATAGTCAAAATGTTTATGTTCTACCTAAGTCAAAACAGCACTATCTATTTATTCGTATTTTTTAGTACATTAACTGATTAATTCAGAGTAAAATGTACCTTTAATATGGAGAAATACCTTAAATCTATACAGATGCTATCAGTAGAGGTTTTGTGGTCATTTAGTTGCCCAGAATGATTTTAACTAGGAAGAAGTATCAGCTACATTACTTCAAACTGGTTTGACCAGTTCTTCCTGTGGCCTGGATGGCTAATTAGGAAACGAGATGAATAAGAAATTAATGTAAAGCTTTTCAGGCTGATTTTCCTACCCAGCAAGTTAAACCACAGCTTTGCCTGTTATCTGCCTTTGTGATCTCTTCAAGGTTATATAATACTGTACCTCTCACTTCCTAAGAAGAAGCCCTGAGAGACTGGAAAAAGCTCAGAGCTCATTTCTGAGAGTAACCTGGTTCTGTTCCTGGTTTTGTCACTTATTGGCCAAGTCATTCATGCAAGTGATTTAGTGTTTGCTTATCATATTATATGCACAATAGCAACTGCTTAAAGAAAACTTCATGCAAAAGGCACATGCTGTTATCTAGATAGTGGGGTGCCCTTAAAGTCTTTTCTTAAAAAAACAGGGCAGTAATGTTATACAGACCACTAAAGGAAGCAAGTAGTTTCTGGTCTACAGACTTCTACTGTGATCTACAGTTAGTCCTTCGTTTCTCTAAGTTTTACCTTGGGAAGTTTTTCTTTTTAATTCACAGGTCTTCTTTCTGAGTTTCCTTTTTCATATCTCTGGAAGTCTCAAGCTGCTTTCAAAATGTTTATTGGCTCCTGACCTTATCCCAAGAATCTTAAGTCCTTTTCAACGTGACATTGTATTAAAACTTTTCTTTTGCATCCATTAACTAAGTAAAATTTTAAAAATAATTGGTCATAATTTGTCCATGTATTTTTATGTCACATAGTTTTTAAAAATATCATATTTGTATTCATGTCTATAAAGAGTTGTACATCAGGCTATTGTTAAGAACACTACCCACATGATAACATGGTCTGTAAGAGATGAGTCAGAAGCTACTTAAAATAGTTGAGAATACAGAGGTCATGGCAGGCTGAATAATGGCCCCTCAAGATGCCCATGTCCTAATTCCTGGAATATGAATACATTACCTTACACAGCAAAAGGGACTTTGCAGATGTGATCAAGTTAAGCATCGTGAAATGGGGAGATTTTCCTAGATTATTTGAGTAGGCCCAATGTGATTATGAAAGTTTTTATAAGGAGATCAGAGAAGAGAGAAGCTAAGCTGCTGGCTTCGAAGATGGAGAAAGATGTCACAAGCTAAGGAATGTAGGTGGCTTCTAGACACTGGAAAAAGCAAGAAAATCTATTCTCCCCTCAAGCCTCCAGAAGGAACATAGTCCTCCCCAATAACCTGATTTACATTTCTGACCTTCAGCATCATGAGATAATACATTTATATTGTTTAAAGACACTAAATTGTAAATGCATATTAGTGGTAATTTACTGCAGCAGCCATAGGACACTGACACAGAAATGTTTATAAGAAATCACCACTAAAGAAATTATTCATGCAACCAAACACCATCTGTTCCCCAAAAACCTATTGAAATAAAAAACAAAATAATAAAAAAAAAAATATTGCCACTAAACATGGGAATTTCTGCAGGTGTATATCTGATAATATGCCAAAATATTATCATAATTATAATTCATTCTGCTTTTTGATAGAACATCACTATACTTCGTGTATATTCTGTAGAGTTTTGCTTAATCTGAACCTGCTGAAAAAATGTCGTCATTTGATTAATAAATTTTCTCTAATGTTGAAAGAATAAAAATAATTTAAGAAGACCCAAAAAAATGTTTATAACAATCTAACACGCATATATACCTTTGCCAATGTATCCTTAAGAATCATGTCAGTAACTCCTATGTACCCAGTGTTTTCCCTGTGGAATTGTTTTCTCCTCCCTACTCTTTCTTCCTCTTCTTCCCCTTATCTCTATGTATACTTTTTTTTTTTTTTTTTTTTTTTTTTTTTTTTTGAGATGGAGTCTCCCTCTGTCACCCAGGCTGGAGTGCAGTGATGCAATCTCGGCTCACTGCAAGCTCCACCTCCCAGGTTCATGCCATTCTCCTGCTTCAGCTTCCAGAGTAGCTGGGACTACAGGCGCCCGCCACCACGCTTGGCTAATTTTTTGTATTTTTAGTAGAGACGGGGTTTCACCGTGTTAGCCAGGATGGTCTTGATCTCCTGACCTCGTGATCCCCCCGCCTCAGCCCCTCAAAGTGCTGGGATTACAGGCGTGAGCCACCGTGCCCGGCCCATCTCTATGTGTACTTTTACACTCTATCTAGTGTTTTGGATGTCAGTGAAGTAGTGATCTCCTCAGAGAGAATATCTGGAACTAAACACCTCCATCCCACCCCTGCCAGTCTAAATTGGGGTCCCTGATACTATTTTCCTCACAGCAGCCTGCACCTTTGTCACTTGTTTAAATTAGCTATTAATTTGAATGATTATTTAATCGTGTTTCTTTTCACTATTACAAGTTTCAAGGTACAAGAATCATGCCTGGTTTTGCTCACTGTTGTGAACCTGGCACACAGTAGGTATTCAGAGAATATTTCTTGGCTGAATGAAAAGATTCAGAATTCTTCATTTCTTGTAAGATTGACTGAAACTGTGTACTACAATGTAGTCCATCTAGAAGCATGAGACAATAAACTAACAAGAGTGATTGTTTTTGTTACTTACCATCTCTTGCAGAGAACATGAAGCCATCAGGCTTTGATCTCCTCTGAAGTCTCAAAGTCATTAGTATTTAGTTGGGTAATAATTGATGGACAATTTTCATGATGACTATCTAATATAAGAAATACTGTATTCTCAAAAATTATTTTTGGGTAACATTCAGAATGTTTTTTCTTGCTTTTATGTCTTTATTTTCATTTTCATTTTATTGCTTTGCAAAACAAATTGTAAATTCCTTCAGTAAGGTTTGAAAATCCACTTGAGAACTGACTGTAATAACCCTAAGAGGTCAAATTGCTCAAGAGTAAATTATTCCTATATTCTACAACTTTGATTCCTCTATATTTCAACTCAAAGCTAAAGATGTGCCTGGGCTCCTTTTGGTATGGAGAAGTGATTAACATGTGTGACTAGTTTCATAAAGCCCCAGACATTGGGAATTAATGAGAATATGGATAAATTTTATTTACATGTGTTTCTGAAACTTTACATCAAATAATTTCAATGTTCGTTTTTAAGAAATAATTTTCTCTGAATAGCAGATACATGTAAAGATGTTCTTCAAATGTTAAACAATTTTTCTCAATAATTTTGCTGATGTTTTCTATGTTGCTTGTCCAGCACCTTTGTTGAACAGTTGATTCTGATTTTTAATTATAAAGGTTTTCATGGAAAGGAAATAAATTTTGCTGAGGCACTATGAGATTCCTATACGTTACTATTTCAACTGTGTTACTCCTCATAAAAATCTGTAAGATAGATTCTATTAATCTCACTTTATAGAATAGAAAACTGAGGGTCTTAGAGCTCAAATAACTTTAATACCAGAGATCAGGTCAATGGCAGTGTTGGGCCTGCCTAACCCAAAGTTCCTGTAATTTCCTTTGGACCACACTATCTTTACTGGATACTTTCAGACCAGCACAATTTACATGACATCCCTCTCTCTCTCAAAGCACACCAGCCCAAACGTCCCTTCCTTCAAAGCCCTATGCCACTGGGCTCCATACCTCAAGTTGGGGAATGGCTAAATAGATTGGAATACTAGCATTTATTACACAAACCCTATTGTGTTCAGCACAGCCACTTTCACTTTTCAGTATAATTAGTCTCCTCAGAGCTCAGTGTTTTGTGGGCATATTTGCTATGGGAAGATCAAGTTTTATGCTCATGTATCCTGTGGCAAAAACAGATCTTCCCAATGATGGGATGAATTTGTAATAACTTTAGCTCTTGGTTTCTAAAGCTTTCAGAAGCCTCTAATGAAACATATTTCTATTTTTTTAATTATTGTTTACTGGCCTTTCATGTTAGAAACCTCCCATGAGGTAGTTCCTTTCATCAAGTCACAGTGGAATGTAGCTGATGCCCTCATGTGTTTAATGACAATGAGACAGAGGAAGTAAGAACATCACGTGCATCCACTCCCAGCTACCTCGGAAATAGCATGGTCAGTTCTCTTGTTAGCCACTTATCAACCAAACTTTCCAGACAGTAAAGCCACGTGGTGTACTTTTTGGTGTATCTGGCAAGTTCAGGATGAATACTTTATTGATAAATATTTGAACAATTAGTGACTCTTAGATAAAAAGATGTCTAGACTTAACAGCAGACTATAAAAATAACTGTTCAGATACTGAGTCAGAGTCCACCTAATGCTCTTATATTTGTGCATGTTCCAATCAAGTATTGGAGAAAAAAAGAGAATTTTTTTTTCCTTAATCACCCTGTGTTTCATCTATCACTTTGTTTTTAATGCTAAGCAAGCAACCGATGGAGTTTCTACACCACTGTTACTTTTACTTAAAGCTGTGAGATTAAATATCATTAAGGATAGTGGATGCTAAGAATACAAGAGACACCATAGGCATACAAGATCAGTAAACAAAAACATGGATGCAGTGAACAAAACAATAACGTTAATTCTTTCATGTACTCCTGATGCTAAGCGCCAAGGTAATAAGATGGTTGGTCTAATGATTATTATTCAATTTTAGGTCTGTGGGACCTAAATACCAACTTGGCTGATTTGTTTCACTGATTTTGTTTGAATTCTCATGAAGACACAACCATGAAACTCAAAATGTCTACTTAACTTCATTTTATTGCTGAAAAATACCCAGAAACCCTTTTTTTTTTGTCATGACGTTATTTAAAAACTGGAGGGAAGCTTTCATTGCACAGTCTGTAAAAAGAAAACAGCAGAACCCAGCAGAGTGGCTGACAGGTGACACAAATACAATGCATGCTAATGTGCAAAGAGAAACAACCTTGCGAGTTTAAACTGGCTGCACTAGAAAAAAAAAAAACTTTATCCAGATATGTGGTCCCTCATGAATTATACTATTATTTTAGTTGATTTTACCTGACATTACCGTATGATTTTTTTCTGTGACAAGAAAATTGCAACCGGCCCTTGACGGTCGGTCACAAATTGACTGAACAAAACAAAATCAAACAGTGAAGTAATCCCCAAATAAATTTAATGAAACCTAAATCCCAAAGGGCAGCACACTTCTGTAGGCAATGGTCTTATTTAATAAATTTTTCTCTGCTTTCACTTTTAGAGCTATATTTACGCAGACAAATTTAATTCATTGGGCTTACATTTCCTCTTCCCCTTAGTTTGTCCACCAGGCACATATAGAAAGGACTGTAACCAGGTATGTCAGTGTTCAGCCAAGAATGAGGACTGTCACCCAGTCACAGGGAGATGCACCTGTCTGCCTGGCTACCATGTAAACCACTGTCTTCTCCATGTGTGTGTTCTGTGCTCAGCTATAATTTATTGAGGAGGCACTGGTAGGGTGGGTCATCACTCAGAATACCAAAGGGCAAATGTTAATTCAAGCTTCTAATTCACAGCAAATTCTGTTAGAATTTATATTTGAATAATTGAAAACATATACTTTTTTTGTAACTCATTCTTCTATTTTGCCTTTTCTATTCAAAATATCCCCAAGTTCTTCACAAATATCCAACATGAAAAGAGATAAAAACGAGAAAGAAAAAATGAGAAAACATAGACTTATTATTATAAATCAACATACAACAAACTACTATATATTTCAAGTAATTCGCAAAGTAAGTTAATTCCAGGGTCTGCTTAGGAACAATTAAATTAAGCAAATTGTTATTCTGGAATGAAAATGATGACTAGCTTAAATGACCAAATGCCAGTTGGCTCCTTATTGTGTAATAAAAAAGAATAGTCCCTAGACCAAACACCTTACATTGATTTTTTAAAGGATATTTTAACATTGAAAATGGTTATAGAAGAATGCACAAAAAAAGTCCCAAGGAGCTTGTTAAAATGTTCAGCCAGCTACTTATTTTTTAAGCTTGTAATTATTTATAATGTACTTTTTATAGATTTAATTTTTCCCCCAACTTGGCAACTGCTGCTCTCTTTCCTCCCTAGTCATTCCTATAGCAGATTCCTTTTACTTTCCTAATTCTACAAGGATATGAATAATTTGGGGATTTTTCTCCTCGAACCAAAAATATAGACTCCTGGTCAAGCTATTGATTTTAGTTTTTTATAAGCCGTTGAATATATATTTTGAATATTACTTCCCTATTTTTTCCTAATGTTAAACATTACCAGCTAAAAACACAATTAAACATGTATGAAAATGGTTTCAATTACTGATTGCTTGGGATCTATAACCACTGAAGTTATTCAAACTTAAAATGAAGAACTAAAATATAAAATTAATCAATTTCTGTTCGTTTTTGGTTATGGCAAATTTCAAGCATCCTTGTATTGCAAGAAGGAAAGTTATTTCCTACATTTGATTCAAATGTCTCAGAAAGAATTTCTTCTTTATATCAAGGATGTTTTGTCTTAATAAAATAATATCAAGTTACATGTAACTGGGTTGCACTTTTATTTCAGAAGGCAAGCTACCTTTAGTTGAAAGAGGTAGCTTTACCTCATAAAAAGTGAGGCTGGCTGAGTCAGGGAACTGCTCTCTGACTAGTCAAATTGGCTTATTTCCAGGCAACACGTGGTTGGATGTGGCTGCAAGGATTCCTTGGCAACATCCACTATAATTACAGGACTATGAAAAAAGATTCAAGAAAATATCCATAAAAGGTGTAGCTGGCTTAAAAACAAAACTTTCAGCAGCCAAGAACAACTGGGCTTTCATGTTCTCAACTTCAGAATGGAGAATCAAAATTTTCTCTCAGCAGAGGTCAGAGGAAGCAGACAAACTTACAGTAGAATCTCATCACTTTTCATAATTCAGAGGATAGATGGGTCAGTCCTAACTTGTGGATAGCATGTAGGAAAAACAACAATTCCTGTTAGATGTAAACTCATAGTGCTATGTATTTTATGACCAATAAGAGGTTTTAAAGTGACCACAGACCCTGGAAACCTTTTATTTCTCCAACCCGTATGCAATACATGTTATTTACAGTCACTCTCTTTGAGGATATTTAAGGCATTAGAGTCCTCTATAACTATGGTCACTTCTTTTAACAGTATTCATAAGAACACCCCCACACTTGGTATAGAATGCTTTGAGAAGCATGGGCCACACAGTAGTCACCAGTGCCAAGAGAAAGATATCAAGACACTCACAGAAGTTGAGTTTTAATGCTATTGCTCATAGCAATAAAAATTCAGACAGACCAAATGTCAGTATCTCCTTTTAAGAATAAAGCCAAACAGCATAACAATGGCTGGTGTATCTGAGTAACCTGATCAAATACTAAGAAAACAGACTCTGTGGAAAACAGATTCATGCTTTTCATTTCTTGAGAGCTACGTGTGTCAGGATGCAGTCATAGCCTTGTTTAAGTTTCTAATGATAGTACCAAAGGCCGCTCACATAATAATAGTATACAGTAGCAGAGGGGCTTGGCATTTAACCTTTAATATTTAAATAAATCAGAACTGTAAATTCCCATCCAAGCTTCTTCTTGGAATGAGAATTCAAGAGAAGGGGATGTGCAAGGATGGGAAAAGATAGTCACCTTATAATGGAAAATAACTAAACACAACTTGCCAGAAATACAAAATTTCCAGGGAGAAATAATTGTAAAGGATAGAGGAAAGGCCAAGTAAAGATCAAAATGGATTTAGGAAATGAGGGAAGGGACGAGCCAAATAAAATCATTGTGTCCTGGGTGTGCGTTTTCTTGTTAAATTTAGCGAACATTTGAGCAAGTGCTGTGTGCATGATTCCAGAATCCAAACTTCACTTAGCACAGAATTGGATAGGGAAGTGAAATTGTCAATAAAATAATTTACTCTTGGAAAAAAAATGTCATTGGCACATCTATAAACACATATCATACTCTTGATACAAATTTAATGAGTTTTGGGACTAAGAGGTTAGCACAGATACTGTTTTTCAAACAGATGGCTCACTCATTAGTAGGTTAATTTCATCAAGTTCAGTTTCCCAATTTCAAAAGTATAATTAAGTTGAAGGCTAAAAATCAGATGATGTTCAAGTATATACACATATATATACATATATATACACACACACACATATATATACATATATATACACACACACATATATACATATATACACACACACATATATATACATATATACACACACACATATATATACATATATATACACACACATATATACATATATACACACACACATATATACATATATACACACACACATATATATACATATATATACACACACACATATATATACATATACACACACACATATATACATATATACACACACACATATATATACATATATATACACACACATATATACATATATACACACACACATATATACATATATATACACACACATATATATACATATATACACACACATATATATACATATATATACACACATATATATACATATATATACACACACACACATATATATACATATATACACACACACGTATATATACATATATATACACACACGTATATATACATATATATACACACACACATATATATATACATATATACACACACACACGTATATATACATATATATATGAAGAAAGAACAACAAAGGGTGATTCTATCAAATATAAAACCATCATTAAGAAAGTTTGGAAAATAGGTTCATATCAGAGGAAAATTATGTTTTCTAAGTAACTGATTCACATGAAAATTATCTCAAAATCTAGACCTTCACCTATATCAGTTACTTAAATTCCTCAATTACACAAGCTGTTTTTTCCTTTCAACTGAGATACTGATTCTTTGATACTTGTAATTATATCTACAGCGTAACATTTCCCTCCATTACAACACAAGTTTCACTCTTTGTTGTGTTGCTCCTTTCCTTACTTGCATAGAAATTCATGTTATCTTTCCTTTCACAGTAATATCACTGCAGAGTTTTCTATACCAGCCAACTCTTACTAATTTTACCTCCTTTTTTGAAAGCAACATGCCAGCAGTGCACATCAGACCTTAAAGTTTCAATTGCCATATTTTCAGCTTGTTTCATGCATTTTTCTCTAATCTCAAGCAACCAAATGTTCTTTTTCAGCATCACATTTATTTTACTATATTAGTAACTTAATAAAAACTGTAAATACTTACATTCTCAAAACTGACCCAAATGGATGTGAAAGAAGCATTTTATATATTGGTGAATGGTAGAAGAGAAGGTGATGGAGACTTTTTTAAAAAATCACTAATTTTGTTTTTAGGTACACTCACTGACTTTGTTTTTAGTACACTCAAATTGTTATAAGTGAGAGAGAAAAAGAACTACTTGGGAGGACTAAAAAAAATGCTGTGCACAAAAAAAAAAGGGCAATTAGCTATGAAAACTGACATCCCTTGATGGGAGGAAATGACAGGAGAGAATATGAAGTAAACCCATTGTTTTTCACAGAAAGCAATAAAGAAATACAACAGCTGTACAGATGAATAACCTTTGGTATGAACAGTTTTAAAGTGTTTGCTTCCCATCTCCATAATGGAGAATTTCATTTTTAACTGGAATGAAAAGGGAGGAAAGAAGCAGCCACTCTTTGAGTCTATAAGCAAATCTGAGACTCAAGATGCGAATTTTGAATTTGGAGATAGGATATACATGGGGATTGTAAAATTTTGAATCTCAACAAAAACCATTCCTTGGCCATTATTTATCTCTTACACAGTATCATCACAGTAGGCTGTACCTCCCTGGATATGAAAGTAAAAAATTGAAAAACTGACATAAAATGAAGAGGCATCCTCTATATCTGGTTTCTTTTTGAATTCTTACATGTATTAAACCCAGATAATTCCAGACAAGACAAGCTATAGCACTTAAATATTTAAAATAATGAACTTTTCTAGGTTGAAATTAGATAGCCTTGTTCAGTGAATTGTCTCCTAAGCACTTTTAAAAAGTAGGTAGATTCCCAAGGAAGCACAAAGTTAAGTCATACCTTATTAATGGGCAGCATCAAATACTAACAATTATCTGTATCGTCTCATATCCTCAGATAACTCCATGCCTTGAATCAACAGCTTGAAAGTGATTGAAAATACCAGTAGAAATTGGAATGTTGAGTTAACCACATGTCTACTGGTGTGAATTTAAACATTGGTTGCTGTAAGTTACAATACCACATATGGTTTTGTTCTCCTTTAACAGGATACCCGAAAGGCACGTATAGTCCATATTGCCAAAAGATGTGTAAGTGACTAACTGTGGCATCTGTGACGCCATGATTGGCACCTGTATCTTCTCTCCTGGCTTCACTGGGGCTGACTGAAGTCAAATTAAGTTATTCTTACCTTTTATGGAGTGGATATGCTGATCATTCCAAGGCCCAATACTGTTAGCAAAAGTACTAAAGCTGAGAGCTGGCATTTTTAAGAACTGTAATTAAAGAGTAAATGTTGTTGCAATTATTTTACTTCCTAATTTACAGTACTAACAGCAAACACAAACTGACCTAAACTCTAGGTTGAAGAATATTTATGTAGGAGTTTGGTTGAGAGCTACAGTCAGTGAAAGTAGCCAAAGAGATCTTTTTGGTGATAACCCCCCTTGCCCCAGGAACGCTAGACTCAAGTCAGTATTAGAAATTATGTTTGCCAAGATCAGAGCAGACTTAAGATTCCTGTGTTCACAATGTCAAACTCATTGTCTAAAGTTCCACAATTTCATTTATGCTCAGCAATTTCCTAGCTCAAAAGTAAGTGGTTTCCCTGCTCATCAAAAAGTAAACAGTTTCCTGAAAGCCAAAGACCTTAAATTAACTACTTATCACAAAAACAACTATTGACATAAAGTTTAAGGCACTGGATTGAAGAGCCCTTACAAATGCACAGGCTTAGACACTCTGAGGATATGACTACCAAGTATATTTTGTTTTTGTTTTTTTTTTCAGATCTGCCATTTTAAAAATATTTATATAGTTTTGCTTAACCCAAATAACTCAACCCATAGTCATACACTCTGACTCCTCTGACCCTTCAGGTGACAGTTAGTCAGAATGAAACACTCACATATGAAGCCACGATTATGATAATTTCTAGGGAGGATAAAAGAGGCAATGAGCAGGAGAGTGCATTGTGGGGAAGTCAGTTCTGGCAATACTGTATTTTTGACATGGGTGTTACGAATGAGGATGTTCACTTTGTCATCATCCATTGAACTGCACATTTGTGTTTTTGTGCTTTATTCTGTAATCTTATTAATTAAAAAAGTACCTCCAATAGGCCGGACGCTGTGGCTCACGCCTGTAATCCCAGCACTTTGGGAGGCCGAGGCAGGCAGATCACGAGGTCAGGAGATCGAAACCATCCTGGCTAACATGGTGAAACCCTGTCTCTACTAAAAATACAAAATTTAGCCAGGCGTGGTGGCGGGCACCTGTAGTTCCAGCTACTCGGGAGGCTGAGGCAGAAGAATGGCATGAACCTGGGTGGTGGAACTTGTAGTGAGCCGAGATCGCGCCACTGCACTCCAGCCTGGGCAACACAGCGAGACTCCGTCTCAAAAAAAAAAAAAAAAGTACCTCCAACAGATCTTAAAATAAAGATGGAAGTACTGCCTTAACACACACCTCAACATAAGTAAACTAGATTGTGAAATACCTTCATTTGAGATTCCTTCATTTGGATGAAGGATAGCTAAATTTGTCACTAGACAGGGTACTACACTGTTATGTGTTAAAGACACCCAAAATGCTTATGTTTCCTGGTCAGTCAGTTGCTTTGTCTGCTTTGGAGGAGGGTAATTTTTCTGTTAAAGTGCCCTGCAGGCCTCAGTGCTCTGCTGTATTGAGAATAAAAGACAAGACAAAACCTGGCTCCAGGTAGCAGACAACTGACACCTAGTGGATAGTGCCTCCTGAGGCCTCAATTGGCAAGTTATCTTTCAATTAAGGCCAACCTATAAAGGCCAACCTATAAACAGTTCTTAAGCAAGGTTCTGTCTGGTTCCTTTGTATTTATTCTTCAAAGAGAGTAAGTGGAAGAAATGTCCTTCTGCCAAAGCATTTTCAAAGCTGTGGTTTCTCTGAACATTGCGGGTACTTTGGTCTTAAGAAAGTTGTGATCTTGTACCTGAGCACTTTCCATTTGCTTTGACAGCTTAGTAGGGTAGAGCCAAATTTGCAACCCACCTCTTAAATGTTCCAAAAAATATGATATTTATTTTATATTATTACCACATTTTCCCTTTATGTGATTCTCAACAGATATTTATTTTGTCTTTGTGTATTTATATATATTTTGGTAAGCATCTGAATGAATTTGTGGAATGAAGTTGCAAAAAACCACCAAACAAATTAATAAATACAAATATATAAATGAATATTTGAAGATATGAGCATAATGAATCTTATATTTATATATAGGAACTTTAGCTAAAATTCTAGAATGGGCTTTAAGAGAACATACTCAAGAATATTATAAATATATATTTGTTGTATATATTATACATACATATATAACATAATATATGTACACATAATATTCCTACATGTGTTATATAACATATATGTACACATGATATACCTACATATACTATATAACATAATATATGTAATATACATACACATGCATATGTGTGTAATATATACATATGCATACATATATAGAGAGACACACACACACACGCACACACTCTTACACTTGCTAAGACAGAGACACATGGCAAAGCAAAACAATCCAAATTGGGAACAGTTGAGGTCCTTAATTTGTAAGAGACATTTATATTATATGTAAGTTTTTGACACTAGATATTTAGTTGAAAATTCCTAACGCCAACTAAAATGGCTCTATGTAAGCAACAATTTAAACAGTCCCTTGTTTTTCTTTGTTTATTTCTAAGTAACTTTTCACATTGAAAATCAAACTAAAAGCAAGTCAGTAAAACCTATTTGATTAAATGAAAATGTCATGTATTTCACAAGTTTTAAAAAATCTTGTCTGGCAAAATGTTTAATAAGAAAAATCTGGTTTTGTTTTGCTCTGTTTTATTTTGCTCTTACTTGCAGCTTGTCCTGAAGATCACTATGGGCAGAACTGTGTTCAATGGCGTTCCTGTGGCTCAGGACAGTGTGACCCAGTGACTGGAGTGTGTCAGTGTCCACCTGGCCGAATGGGAACCAGGTGTCAGGAAGGTAACAATGGGCAGGGTCACCTTCTCTGTCCAAGCACTAAATTAGCTATGCTGCGAAAGCAGATTTGGTGCCAACGAAGATAATTATATGGACAATATTTACAAGAATGTTTTCTGTTAGTGTGGCTTTCAAATAACATGAAAGTACATGCTCCCGAGCCGGGCGCGGTGACTCACGCCTGTAATCCCAGCACTTTGGGAGGCCGAGGAGGGCGGATCACGAGGTCAGGAGATCGAGACCATCCTGGCTAAGACAGTGAAACCCCGCCTCTACTAAAAATATAAAAAATTATTGGGGCGTGGTGGCGGGTGCCAGTAGTCCCAACTACTCAGTAGGCTGAGGCAGGAGAATGGCGTGAACCCGGGAGACGGAGCTTGCAGTGAGCTGGGATCGCCCCACTGCACTGCAGCCTGGGCGACAGAGCAAGACTCAATCACAAAAAAAAAAAAAAAAAAAAAAAAAAAGGACATGCTCTCATAGCACTATATAGAAAATAGTGCTGGAAGATAAGCACAAATTGGAAACAAAAGTAAAGAATAACTTATGCATGCTCTTGACTGGGAAGAAATTTTCAGATAACATTTGTTAACTTTTATAAAACTGCCAAAAATTGTGTGTTGGAGAAGTCTAATTATAAGAACTACAGAATTTTATATCCCCTTCAATCAGAAGGTTGAACCTGAAGAGGCCCCCTGAAATCTATAAGAAAAATGGGAGACAAGGAGAAAAACATAATCTTTGTTGAAAACTGCAAAATTTTCTTATCCTAATTGTAGTATTTATTATTACTATCATAAGGAGAGAAGAGCTGTCAAGTTTCAGAAAACAGGGATTTTTCGGGAGAATACTGGGCCCCTATAGATCTTAAGTAGGGCCAGCAGAGCAGCCACTTCTCCATGGCACACACACAGAGCAAAACTAAGGACACTTTCCTGAAAAATAAAGATTGGGTGAATAGGAGGGCTATTGAAACTTCTCTGAATCCCACTGAACATCTTAGAGTGGAGGAAAACTGGGCAAAAACAAAACAAAACAAAACAAGAATTATACAGACATACCATGTTTTTAACTCTGCACTAGGACAGAAGGGAATCTGTGGGGTAGTTTAGCAGCCTTGCAACTGAAGAGAAGCTCAACACACACAAATATCTCACACACACACACACACACACATACACATACATACATCCCACACCTTGTGTTATATGGAGCTGCACTCTGGACGAAGAAGGCTTTCTTCTAGCTGAGATCATTTTTCTAACCCTAAATAGACACTATCCTTCCAGAAATATGTGGTGCATTAAAAAATGAAGCTTGTACAAAAAAATACTTCTCTCATTTTACAAACAAAAAATGAAACTGTTCAAAGCTTCCCTTGCTGTTTTAGTGCAAATTCTGTAAGAAGGAAAAAGGAATAAAGGAATATGAAAAAGAAAAGGCAGATGAAACAACAGCAGAAAAGTTTTGCTATGGAGCACATGAAGATATTAACCAGAATCTCTTCCAAGAATTCAAAGGATGTAATGAAAAAGTGTTCTCTATAAAATGTGAGTGCAATGCAGAGATACAGGGGTTCATGGAATAAATGAAAAGACAACAAAAGGAAATGAAAAAGTAAGCTGGCAGAGCTCAAAAAAGAAGTGGAAATGAAAATTGAACCTCACATCATATAAATGAAGGCCACATTGGGAGCAGGTAAAGGAAGGACAGAATCTGCTGATAGTACAGCCAGGATAAAAAAAAAAAAAAAAAAACGAGGAAAATAAAAATAATGAAATGGAAAAGAAATGAGAAAGAAATGTATACTTGGAAGAGGAAAATGTTCAGATATAATATTCAAGATTTTTCCTTTGAAATAAAAGATCTGATGCTACATATTGAATGAATATATTTTATCTCGGGAAATAATAGTTACAGTGGCTCAAAAGCAAGGGGAAACTCCATTGAGGATATAAGGAAAAAATATGAGCTTACTTAAGAGTGAGAAAAATCAGTCTGACTTTTTACCTCACAGCAATATTCATTGCCAACATATGGCTAATCAATGCTTATTAAGTTTGTGAGGAAAAAATGTGACATGTATTTTATACACCATTAGCTGTTATCCAAATATAACATGGTGGCAAATTAACCACTTTTTAAAAAGTTGCTGGAAATATAGTAGCCTTAAAATATTTTAAAGAAACAATTGCGAGATAAATTGAAGCAGCCAAATAATAAATGGGAAATATCTGATAAAAAGACTATTAGTAAACATTGCATTCATCTTAATTAAGGCTAAGTTTAAAACAATTGTGGGAATTATGGCTACATGATAGAAGATAAATATTATAAATTATAACAATTGTAGAGATTTTAACATAGTGCTAACAAGGCATAAACTGGAAAGACAGAGAAGGCAAAGGAGTATAGGTATACTGGTCTTATTTCCTCATTCAAGTTTGTGGGGTACATGGGAGAGATCTGTGTCAAAACATATTATTTAAATATAACAATTCAATAAGTGTGTTTAAGTGTATAAAGGTACATTCTAGAATTTAGAATGCTTCAATTGAGATGTTAAGAATAAAAATACACCCAACTAAAATCAGATGGAGGAGCGAAATGAAAAAAAAATAAGAGAAAGCAGAATCATATTAATTTCATTACCATTTATACTGAGTTACCATGTACTAAATAAAGAAGTTTACTATATTATATAATGTCTGCACTATCTAAACAAAGTTCCCTAAATTATGTAAGAGTATATTTATAAGGCCCATGTAGAGAACGATGGAGTGCACATACCTTTTCCTATTGCTCTCTTTCAACATAGTAAACATTCCACACAATGTAGAAAACAAACATAAGTCTCTGAAATATGAAGAAAAGAAGGCAGATTGGATAAGAAACTTAGAAATCTAGGAAACAACATGATGGTGAGTTCCCTGGTTTTGTTTTGTTTTGTTTTTTGTCTCATATATCCCAGACTGAGTGCTGGAGAAACCTGCAACCCAGGTAGGCCAATGGGTGCAGACAAAGGTCTAAGATACAATTGATTTCTCTAGTCAAAGGACAGGAAAGGGGGCAGTCTAGCGATACAGAAAACTTTTAGAAAATAACTGGTCTTCTTCAGGCAAACACTACAAAATGAAACTGTGTCCTCAATCCCAATCCCATGAGCAAGGGCCAAATGAGGAGTGTGCACTTCAAACCCCATCCTGATATGAGAAGGTACCCCTCTCTACCCCACACACCAGGATTGTGTAAGAGAAGGCATTGTGGGGAGTTTGGACTTCATCTCTACCAGATAGTAACAAGCCCTCTAACTATGCAGTGTCCATGGTGACCATGTGATGTGAAGAGTGTGGACTTTCACCTCCACCAGATAGCAAGGAGACATCGCTCCTCCCTTCTGGGTGGTATCAGAGGAGGTCTAGTAGAGAGTCAGAATTCCCACAACCACCAAGCAGTAATGAATGTAGTGTCAGTGGAGATCAGGTGGGAGCCATAGGATGCACCTCTAATCCTATCAGTGACATTGGTATTAGCAGAGGCCTAGTGATGAGCTGAATTCCCATCCTGCCCCAGCAGGAAACAGCCCCATTTATCCAGTCTCCTACTTGGTGACCATGTAGGGAACTTGAACTTCTACCTGGTGAACCCTTATTCTCACCAGTGTAATATAGGAGGAGGAGACTGCTAAAATGGAAAATTTAAATGAGATCCATGTTCTGGTATCATAATATTCAAAATTTCCAGGTTTCAATTTTTAAAAATTCATCAACCAACAACTTGGAGAATTTCAACTTAAGGAAAAGGAGACAATCAACAGATGCCAACACAGAGAGGACACTAATGTTAAATTTATCTGACAAGAATTTTAAAGCATTTATCATAAAAATACCTCAATGAGTAACTACAGATATAATTAAGACAAATAAAAAATTAAAAGGCTCAGCAAAGAATAAAAGACCTTAAGAAGAACCAAATGGAAATTTTAGAACTGGAAAATAAAATTACCAAAATAAAAAGCTCAATGGATGAGTTCAACAGCAGAATGAAGTGGACAGAGGAACAAACCAATGAACTTGAAGGAATGATGGAAATTACCCAACCTGAACAACAAAGAGAGAAAAAAATAGCAACCAACAAACACACACACACAGCCTCAGAGACCTGTAGTACTATAAGAAAATATCTACCATTATGTCATCTGAGTCCCAGAAGAGGAAAAAGAGGGTGGAAATGAAAAAATATTTAAAGGAATAATGGCTGAAAATTTTCTGAATGTGACAATAAACATAAACCTACATATTGAAGAAGCTGTGTTAATGCCAAACAAGATAAACTCAAAGAAATTTACAAAAGTCATATCAACATCAAACTTCTGAAAATTATATACTGATTTAACTAATATATAAATATATGTTAAATAATGTATTCAATCAATTGATATATTAAATATAATCTATATTTTAATTCAATTAATAAATATTGAATAAACTATATTCATTTTAATATGAATAATTAATACATATTTTATATATCAAATACATTAATATATATTTCATTTTCAGAAGCTTGATATTGATATTTCTTTTGTAGATAGGTGTTGAGAGAGAAACAACAACACCTTAGCTATAGAAGAAATACTAATAGAATGATAGAATGACAGCAGCGTTCTCATCAAAAGTCATGGAAGGGGTGTAACATATCTGAAGTGCTAAAAAAAAAACAAAACCCTATCAAACCAGAATCATATTTCCAGGAAAAGAATCCTTCAAGAATGGAAAGGAGATTTTAAAAAATTCTCAGATGAAGGAAAACAGAGCATTTGTTGCTAGCAGACTTAACCTAAAGGAATGGCTAAAGAAACTTCTGGAAACCAAAAGAAAATGACAAAGAATCTTGGAACAGCAGGAAAATTAGAATGCATAAAGCAAAGAGTAAAAATATAGCAATGCAAACTATTTTTCTTTTCCTCTTGAGTTTTCTAGATTATACTTGGCAGATGAAGAAAAACTATGACACCAATGTAGTTCTCAATGTATATAGAAAAAATATTTGACAATTTATTATAAATGAGGAGAGTAAAAGGACAGAAAGGAGGTTAGGTTGCCACACATCATTCAAGCTGGTAAAATATTGACTCCGTAGACTATAAGTCAGGTGTGTATAACATAATACCTAAAGGAGTACCAAAAAAATCTATATAAAAGGAAATGCTGGCTCCTCCCCTGCAGTAGACTTCTGTCGGACATCCAGGTGTTTTCATACATCCTCTGAAGTCTATGCGAAGGCTCCCAAAGCTGAACTTTTGTCTTCTGTGCACCCACAGGCCCAACACCACATGGAAGCTGCCAAGGCTTGGGGCTTGCACCCTCTGAAGCAATGGCCTGAGCTGTACATTGGCCCCCTTTTATCCATTCCTGGACCTGGAGTGGCTGGGATTCAGGGTGTTATGTTTCAAGGCTCCACAGAGCAGCAAGGCCTTGGTCTTAGCCCATGAAACCATTATTCCCTCCTAAGCCTCCAGGCCTGTGATGGGAGGTGTTGCCATGAAGATTTCTGAAATGCCCTGGAGACATTTTCCCCTTTGTCTTGGCTATTAACATCCAGCTCCTCATTATTTGTGTAAATTTCTCCAGCTGGCTTGAATTTCTTTACAGAAAATTGATTTTTCTTTTCTACCACATGGTCAGGCTGCAAATTTTCCAAGCTTTTACAGTCTGCTTCCCTTTTAAACATAAGTTCCAATTTCAGACCATCTCTTGTGAGTGCATATGACCGTATCCATTCAGAAAAAGCCAGGTCACATATTGAATGCTTCACTGCTTAGAAATTTTCTCTGCCAGATACCCTAAATTATCTCTCTCAAGTTCAAAGTTCCATAGATCTTTAGGGCTGGGTCAAAATGCCACGAGTCTCTTTGCTAAAACATAGCAAGAGTAACCTTTGCTCCAATTCCCAATAAGTTCCTCATCTCCATCTCAGACCACTCAGCCTGGACTTCATTGTCCATAACACTATCAGCATTTTGGTCAAAACCAGTCAACAAGTCTCTAGGAAGTTCCAAACTTTCCCACATCTTCCTCTTCTTCTGAGTCCTCTAAATTGTTCCAGCTTCTCCTCGTTACGCAGTTCCAAAGTCATTTCCATGTTTTCATGTATCTTTATAGCAGTGCCCCACTCTGCCAGTACCAATCTCCTGCGTTAGTCCATTTTTACACTGCTATAAAGAATTACCTGAGACTGGGTAATTTATGAAGAAGAGAGGTTTAATTGACTCATAGTTCTACATGGCTGTGGAGGACTCAGGAAACTTACAATCATGGTGGAAGGCGAAGGGGAAGCAAGGACCTTCCTCACATGGCAACAGGAGAGAGTGAGCGAGCGAGCTGGGGGAACTGCCAAAAGCTTTTAAACCATCAGATCTCATGAGATCTCACTCACTATCATGAGAACAGCATGAGGAAACTATCCTCATGATACAGTCACTTCCCACTAACTAGGTCCCTCCCTCAAATTGTGGGGATTGCAATTCAAGATGAGATTTCAGTGGGGACATAGAGCCAAACCGTATCACAGGGGATATCATTATAGACACTGCTGGCATGAAATGAATAATAAGGGTATACTATAAATAGTTCTACACATATAAATTTGACAAATTAGATAGAAGGAACTCGTTCCTTGAAGAGCACAAAGAATAACTAATCCAATATGAAATAGATAATTTGAATAGTCCTGTAAATATAAATTAGAATTTTCCAGTTCCAGATGATTTGACTGGAGAATTCTATAAAATGTTAAGATGAATTAACATTCTACACAATCTCTTACTAAAATATAAGAAAAAGGAATCCAATTCATTTTATTCTGATACCAAAACCAAAAATATTACCAAAAACAGAAACTACCAAATAATGTCTTTCATGAACATAGCAAAAATGTTTAAAAAAATATTAGAAAATATAATTCAAGAGTTTAAAAATTAATTATACACCACCAAGTGTGCTTCGTTCTAGGGATGTGAGGCTGGTTCAATGTTTGAAAATCAATTTTACCATATTAATGGACTAAAGATCAAATTTAGGAGTATCATACCAATTGATGCAGAAAGAGCATTTGACAAAATTCAATATTATTCATGATTTTAAAGAACGCAGAAAACTAAAAATAAAGGGAATGTTCTCAGCTTGATAATTTGCATTTACATAAAGCCTATGGTATTATAATTAGTGATGAAAGACTGAATTTATCTTCCAAAATATTTATGTAAATATTTAGTAATAAGAAGGGATGAAAATAAAGAACAATAAAAACAATAAAATAAACTTGAAATGAGGAATTACTAAAAAAAAAGGTAAAATATGACTGACCTTATTAGTTCCATTAAGAGAAATTACAGCAATCTAGAAAAAGATAAAATTGTATTCCTACATTATTTTGTTCATCCAAATTACTTCCAGGTGCATAAAGTATTTAAAGATAATCACGAAAATTATGCAAGTACCAAAATTAACATGGGGATTAAAACATTATTTTGTATGGCCATGACAAAAACTCAGAACTCATTTTTTAGAAAAGAAACCCATGGTCTTTTTGACTTAAAGAAAATCAAAAATTTATTCAAGGTATAAAACACACAGAAAAGCAATGTATAAATAAGCTGGATGAAGAAAGACCAACAAAGCGCACTAATTTTCTTTTATTTCTTTTACTTTTCTTTTTTTTTAAGCTACACCTGCTGGAATGGGAGATTAAGTTTTAAGATCTGTGGGGGGTTTTTTTTGTTGTTTTTATTTTTTTGAAACAGGGTGTCATTCTATTACCCAGGCTGGAATGAAGTGATGCTATCATATCTCACTGCAGTCTCTCACTCCTGGGTCCAAGCGATCCTCTCACCTCAGTCTCCTGAGTAGCTGGGACTATGTGCACGTACCACCATGCCCAGCTAATTTTTTTATTTCTCATGAAGACAAAGTCTCACTATATTTCCCAGGCTGATCTCAAGTCCTGGGCTCAAGCAATCTTCCTACTTCGGCCTTACGAAGTGCTGAGATTACAAGTGTGAGCCACTGTATCTGGGCTAATTTTCTTAATAAGCAAAGAGATTTCTTTCATATATCAATAAGAAAAGGCTGTACAACACCCGGTGGATCTTATAAAAGATGATAAGCATCATTTATAGTGTGACAAATCCAAATTTAAGTTGCACTTTGTACCATCTTCACCTATCAGATAATCATGGCATGCCATATTGGCTAAAGATTGAAAAATGGGCACATTGATAATCCTTAGTAAATTGGAAAATCTCTTTGTAGGGAAATTTGATAGTGTTCATTACTACTTAAAAAGCACATATTTTATTTGAAGAATTTACTCTATAGGTACTATATTGTGATATTATACTATATTATCATATCATAAGAATGAAGACTTACATAATGATGTTCATTACAGCATTGTTTGTAGTAGCAAATTATTTTAAACAATCTGGAGTGCCAAAATAAATTTTGCAAAGCACAATAAATTCCTATGTAGCTGTTAAAAAAGAATGAGGCATATATGTACTAATGTAGTAATTTGGAAAAATTATTTAAATACTTTGTGTACTAATTTATGTACTATACTAATTTTATATACATGTACTAATTTAGTACATTGTTAATCTATATTTACTAATTTGGAAAAATCTTGGGAAATTTTATGTAAAAGAAAGCAACATTTACAATATTATTTATTATATATAATGTATTATATAATATATTATATATCATATATTATATATTTTATATATATATATAGACACACTCACACATACACACATATTAACCTTTGGGTAGAAAAGCATTAAGGGATACAGGAGATAGACATATTATGCTTTACTAGCCATAGGCTATTTCTGGATATATCCAGCCATTTATCCACTTAATTCAAAAAATATTTATTGAATGACAATGCCTGTTTTAAGCATATAAAGTGTATGGTTAAAATACAGACTATACAAGTGCTCATGCAACTTGCTTTCTAGTGAGAGAGATAATAATAAATATAAATAATAAGGGAATTAATAAATTTATATATGTTATTTATACCCCTCTAACATATATATATTCTTATCCTTACAGGCTGCTTAAGTCTGAGCGAGACTTGAGACTCTGAGCTTCAATGTTCTTAAGAGTAACGTGTGTGTGTGTGTGTGTGTGTGTGTGTGTGTGTGTACTCTAGAGGGAGTAAAATCTGTGGTAAGAGAAAAAAGAGCATGAAATAAGGCTGGAGAGCGCAGGGTGTGTTGAAAATTTAGAGTACTCAAGGTAAGTCTTATTGAAAGAAGTGAAGCCTGTGATACAGAAAATAGCTGGTAATTATGACGTTTTTGATGATGTTTTTAAGAAAAGAACTGAGAATACTGGAACACAGGAATGGAATATTTTCATAATATATTTTTGTATATTGTTTGAAATAATTAACATGTGATTACATAAAGTTTAAAAAGGCCATAAAGTCATTTACACAATTCTGTGTCAATATTGTCATAAGACCTAGACCTGTAGAAGTAAATATTTCTGAGTTTTTCTTACTTTTTCAATTATGCTTTTTTTCCCCAATTATGTTTTAAATCTTATCTTGGCTTAGTAGAAGTCCTGTATTTTCACAGATTCATTGATTTCATCAATCCATTTCAACATATAGGCTGGTAGATGAATGGGTCTCCTGGCTGATGAGGACAGGGTTGTTTTAGGAGCGTAGAAGGAAAACAGGCAAAAGTTTATTTTAATAACACCTGATATTGATTCTGCTTAATTTGCCCTATATGCAAAAGGTAAAATGGATTTAATTAAAGGTAGTCTATTGCACGTATAATGATGATTCAACCATTAATTGTACAACTATAACTGTTATTTAAGTAACAAAATCAAAAAATTTTTTTCATTTGGTACTGGAATTCAGTGCAGCTAGTTGCTCAAATAAAAGCAATAAAGAAAGTATCATGCAGATTGAATTCATGTACCTGTTCTGCTATGTATTAACCAATGCCTTTGGGCAAGTTAAAAAAAAAAAGTCTCTCTAACTCTTTTTTTCCTACTTGCTGGAATATAAAAATTTCTCTAATGTTTATTCTGCTAGCTGGAATTTTAAAAATTACTCTAGTTTGCTTCTGCTAGTTGGAATAGAAATAATTTGATTGGAAGTCAGATAGTCTAGATTTGACTCTTAGTTCTTATCCTTATAGGCTGTTTAAGTTTGAGCAAGACTTTAGACTCAGAGCTTCAATTTTCTCAAGAGTAAAATAAGAATACTGCTACCCACATCACAGGAGTATTTTTTAGTATTAAATGAGATAATCCATGTGGAAAATATTATTATGTAAAAATACTATAAACTTCAGGTCATAAATGGCAGGCTGTTGGCCAAATGTAGCCACAAATATGTTTGAATTGGCTGTCATAGTTTTGGCTTTTAGCAGCGCTGTAAAACAATTTTAATTAGTGGTCAACTTTCAAAGATTTGTTAATTTCACATAAAATATGAACTTTTGAGTTTTCCTTAAAAAGTCATATTAGCTGGCAGTATTGGGTTTGCGTTCTTCATAGCAAAAGCAACAAAATGCAAGTCTGATTCTCACCTTGGAGGGGCTTTGCACTCCCATCGGTTGCACTTCTCATCATTCAATTATCTTTTCCGTGACACTGAAGAAAGAGAGGCTCCGTTTTCCTTGTCTGGTTAGTTTCGTTCACTTGTGTCCTTTTTTTTTTTTTTTTTTTTTTTTTTGAGACGGAGTCTCTCTCTGTCGACAGGCTGGAGTGCAGTGGTACCATCATGGCTCACTGCAACCTCCGCCTCCCGGGTTCAAGTGATTCTCCTGCCTCAGCTTCCGGATTCTCCTGCCTCAGCCTCTGGATTCTCCTGCCTCAGCCTCTGGAATAGCTGGTACTACAGGCGCCCGCCACCATGCCCAACTAATTTTTGTATTTTTAGTAGAGATGGGGTTTCACCATGTTGGCCAGGATGGTCTTGATCTCTTGACCTTGTGATCCACCTGTCCTGGCCTCCCAAAGTGCTGGGATTACAGGCATGAGCCACCACCCCCAGGCCACTTGTGTCTTAATTCCTCTTGATAGTGCATTTTAGTTTGTGTCACCCACCTCTGTAAGTTGAAATACTTTTACCATTTCAGTAACTTGAAAACAAACTGCTCATTTTTCTTCTTTATCAGTTATGAAACTAAATATATAAAATCTTATCCCTAGTCATCCAGGATTGACTGCTCCTTCTTCACAAGGGTCTCTGCAGGTCCCAGTATACCAAACACACAGTATTAATCAATATTCATGGAGTGAATGAAAAAAATGAATGAATGAAAGTGATATATTTGCTACCTTACAGATAACATGTGAGTAGTTCTTTGTTTTAATTTTAACATTTATTAAGCTTTTGCTATCTAGATACAGTTACTGTATCTGAAGTAGAGAAAAATGTTGTTTTTCCGGCTGAGCACCATGGCTTACGCCTGTAATCCCAGCACTTTGGGAGGTCAAGGTGGGTGGATCACCTGAGGTCAGGAGTTTGAGACCAGCCTGACCAACAAGGTGAAACACTGTCTCTACTAAGAATACAAAAATTAGCCAGGTGTGGTGGCATGCACCTGTAGTACCAGCTACTCAGGAGGCTGAGGCAGGAGAATTGCTTGAACCTGGGAGGCAGAGGTTGCAGTGAGCCAAGATCATACCACTGCATTCCAGCCTAGGTGACAGAGCAAGACTCCTTTAAAAAAAAAAAGAGAAAGAGAGAAAGAACGGAAGGAAGGAAGGAAGAAAGAAAGGAAGAGAAAAGTGTTGTGTTATTTTATTTTTACAAAATTTTATTACAGGTTGTCCCCAGATAAGACATGGCCTCAATTATCAGCTAAAATGTACTTGTAAAAATGGTGGCCTTTGCAATTCTGCAGATAGAAGGTCTATCTGTGGCCTTGGGTGGACAGGAAATTATTGTGAAAAAAGCAAGTTGATTCACTGCCTTTTTTCCCTCAATAAAGATCTACTTTAGGCCGGACGCAGTGGCTCACACCTGTAATCCCAGCACTTTGGAAGATTGAGGTGGGCAGATCATGAGGTCAAGAGATCGAGACCAACCTGGCCAATATGGTGAAACCTCGTCTCTACTAAAAATACAAAAATTAGCTGGGCATGGTGGCGGGCGCCTGTAGTCCCAGCTATTCTGGAGGCTGAGGCAGGAGAATTGCTTGAACCCTGGAGGCGGAGGTTGCCGTGAGCTAACATTGCGCCCCTACACTCCAGCCTGCCAACAGAGCAAGACTCCGTCTCAAAAATAAAAAAAGGATCTACTTTTGAGAATACTGTCATTGGTTGATAAAATACAGCAGAAACTTGTGAAGAAGCTATTTTCCAGTAAGCTAATTCAAGTTGTTTAGAACTATAATTGAATATCCAATAAAATTGTTATGTAAATATGATTGATATTGTTACTGAAATATCACATGAAAACTCCTAAACTCCTTAAGTAATTGAAATAGTATTAATGTGAAAGAGCTCCTCTGAGACCTAAACTTAACTCCCCTACCAGCCACTTTTTAAGCCTAAAGAAAGGCTTTGTGGACACCAAATCTACTAAGTCTTGAGTTTCTAGGCATGAAGCTGAAGAATCTCCACCACCTCTGAGGCTTTCAGGCAGGCAAGGCGGAGGATACAGGGCTCTGGGAGAAGCCAGATCACATGAATAAGAATAGGCACAGCTGCAAAGAGGGAAGAGGACCACCCAAAAGTCTCCAAAATTTGTTTCATCAGGAAAAATTTAATCAGTACAGTAGTCCCCCTTTGCCTGTGGTTTACCTGCGGTACAGTACAGTAAGATTTTTGTAAGATTGGCAGAACTCTAAGTACATTGATGTAATTTTTTTATTAGTTACTGTGAATGCCTTATTATGCCTAACTTATGAATTAAACTTTATTATTGTTATGCATGTATAGTGGAAAACGTAGTGTATATAGGGTTCAATGCTATCTGAGCTTTCAGACATCCACTGGGAGTCTTGGAATGTATTCTCCATGGATGGGGGGCCTGCTATACCACTATACATGCATTTTTATTTATAAATGACATTCTTGCACGTCTTGACTAATAAGTATATTATAAAATGTAGATAAATGCTTAAATTGATAAACATGGATAAAATGAATATTGATAGTTGTTCTAATGTTTGTTTTCCTGAACCACAATTTGTTATTTTGTACAACACTGGAAAGCACCAACTTTATTTAGAGCGCACTATTGTAGGAGACATTGTATTTTGGCAGATTACAGAGCAAAGGTTCTGGCAAAGTGTGGATGAGAACATTGTGCTGGAGGCCTAAACTTGAGGCACTCAGAGCAGAAAAAAATTCACAATGTACGTTTACCCAGATGGTTTCAACTGCGGGTGGTGTGACTCTTCCGACTTAGTGAAAATGAGTGTGATTATCTACTCTCCGTCACTACTCGTTCAACTGTCATGAAATTCAACAACATGTTATAGAAGAAACCACATTGCAATGGGCATGGATAAACATGAATGCTAACCCTAGCTCTGCTAATACCATGTGGTCTATCTTTGGGCAGTTCACATCCTCTTTCTGATTTAATTTTCCCATCTGAAAATGAGGGTATTGAGCTGAATAATACCTGACAGTCCTTCCAAATCTAAGATTCAAGGCCATTTTTCATGGGATTTTGAAAAGATGGATATCCTGCCTAATTCATGGGAGATGGCTCTTATCAGTTTTGTGATTTGAGATTACAAAATCAGCTTTTTAAAAACAGACAGTACTATCATGTCCATGCTCTTTTTGATTGTAAGTTGAGTAATTTTCTGGCATTTAGTATGTGGGATATTTTTACCATTGATTCTATCATTTAAAGTTTTTATTATGTAACATTTCAAACACATACAAGAGTTAAGAGAATGATATAACGGTATAATGAATCTCCATATATCTGTCATTCACCTTCAACAATAATCAATCAATTTATGATTAATCTTGTGTCATCTATACTTCCAGCCACTCCCTCACTCTGTACCTCTATGGTATTATTTAGAAGCAGATCATGGTCATATTAATATTCTTTTCTAAGCTTTTGGTATTATAAATTTTGTATCAATAAATAGTTTTGTGCATATATTGTTTAATATTTTTGCCAAACCTCCAAGAGGTTTTAAGTCTTCCATATTGGACTTACATATTCTGTATTGTACTTGATTGGCCACCTAAGGAAATGTTTCAAAGGTTAAATTTTACAGACTTCAAAACCTAACTTCCTTGTAAGATATTTACCTACTGTATGTGCATCATATTCTTTTAATCTCTTTCTTCCTTCTTCTCTTCCTTCTTCCTTTCTCTCACACCCATCTCTGTCATTTACTCCCAGGACTTCAAATATCAAAAATTATATGATATCACCTTCCACAGATACTGTCTTATTTATTTAAATAATTTAATTTAAAAATCATTCTCACTAAATTTAGCCTGGATTTGAACACATTGCTTCTTTATGTCTTTAAGGTATTGAAGGATTTTTTTTCTTTATTTTTTTCTGTTTTTTCTTTGTTTTTTTTGTTTCATTTTTTTATTTTTTGAGATGGAGTCTCACTCTGTCACATGTCACCCAGGCTGGGGTGCAGTGGCACAATCTTGGCTCACTGCAACCTCTGCCTCTCGGGTTCAAGCGATTCTCCTGTCTCAGCCTCCTGAGTAGGTGGGATTACAGACATGCATCACCACGCCCAGCTAATTTTTGTATTTTTAGTAGAGATGGGGTTTCACCATGTTGGTCAGGCTAGTCTCAAACTCCTGACCTCGTGATCCACCTTCCCTGGCCTCCCAAAGTCCTGGGATTACAGGCGTGAGCCACTGCGCCCAGCCGGTATTGAAGGATTTTAGGAAAGGCTTTGGCCAAATGTTTATGTGCACATCATAGGACATAAGCATGATCTACTTAAAGCTATTTCAATTTCCTCATTCACTTTTCTAGACTAATTATAGAAACTGGCACCTATATATTCACTTATTTGTATGATCAAACTATTGTCAATGTGCTTCTCCATACAATTTTTTCTTTCTTTCCAATTCGCTCATCTCTTTATTTGGTATTGGGAAACAAATGAATTGAACATATTCTAATTTTCCTTTCATTTACTTTTAATGTAAATAAAATTCTAATTTGCCTTTTATTTATTTTTAAAGTAATAGTATTTTGACATTTCCATTTCCCAGTGTACCCTCCGGGATTTTATGGCTTGAATTGTGCTCACATCTGTGACTGCAAAAAATGGAGCTAGTTGTAATGCAGCAAGTGAACAGTGCATTTGCCCAGCAGGTGTCCATGGCAGCCAATGTGAAAAAAGTATTGCCAGAGCATTTTTAAGGACACAAGTGCGAGAATTCTGTGTGACTATGAGATCTTCTCATCTGGTGACAAACATGTAAAAGAAACTGAAAATATGCAATAATTACTTAAACATTCGACCTGCACATTAAAGTGGTAGAAATTCACTCAACGGCCAATATAATGAGTCCTTCTGATTTTGTGGCTGATTGGTCAAAATTTTATTTTCCTTTATATAAAGTTGTGAGATATTTCAAAACACCAGTAAAACTGTTAGTCTTTGTTGGACGAGGATTCTACCTCTGAATGAGAATAAATATTTCATTAAATGCTTTTAACGAATGTGACCTATGTATTGGGTTCAATGGCATTAAAAGAGATACAAGAAATTTATGAAAATATTTAAAGATGTGAATTAGGCATTTACCACTACAAAGTAATCATGGCCATGAGTGGAGATAAAGATATAAAGGTGAGAATTTGGGCTACTCAGTTTGAAACAAAATATTATAAAGCCCTAAAAGCCACTAACTCAGTAAACAACACAAAGTCCTGTTATGGCCTATATTATGTATAGTCTTTTGTCTATAGTTACAACAATCATGATCATTATAATTATAGTATGATGATAATGGTAGTCAAAGTTATTGTCTGTGGCCTTTAAAAAGGATTTATATGTTAGCTCATACTATGTTCTCAGTTGTCACTATAAAGAAAAATATCAATATTTTTCTGGCTGCAGTGGCGCGATCATAAATAAGACATAAAGAAGCAATGTGTTCAAATCCAGGCTAAATTTAGTGACAATGATTTTTAAATTAAATTATTTAAATAAATAAGAGAGTATCTGTGGAAGGTGATATCATATAGTTTTTGATATTTGAAGTCCTGGGAGTAAATGACAGAGATGGTGTGAGAGAAAGGAAGGAGGAAGAGAAGAAGGAAGAAAGAGGGCAAAAGAATATGATGCATATATGGTAGGTAAATATCTTGTAAGGAAGTTAGGTTTTAAAGTCTGTGAAATCTAATCTTTGAAACATTTCCTTAGGTGGCCAATCAAGTACAATACAGAATTGTCTCTTAGTAAGTCCAATATGGAGGACTTAAACCTCTTGGAGATTTTACCTCCAAGACTGGAGAAGATCAATATTTTTCTGGCTGAACATCAGAAGAAGTAATTGGTTATAAATTAAAATCAGATTCTGGAGTGCTCAGGAGAGATACTGACTCACATCTCTTTTTGTACATCCTTCATTATTCATGTATTATTTAGTGATTCAATAAAATGTCACCCATTATGTATCTGTGGTAGCAATAAGAACAAATTCCAACCTGACTCTAGTATACTATCACATGACAAGCAGCAGGCCCTGAGTTAAATTCTGGAAATACAGTGGAAAACATGGAGTTTATTGTCTTCTAGAGAGATGAATAATAAAAACACTTTAAGGGGAAATATTAAAAATAAGACGCTTGGCTTGTAGACTTGGTTTCCTTCCTAAAGCTCCTACCTTCAAAAATTTTATTTGCATTCTAAAGGATATATACTAGTGTTAAAGTAAATCAACTTTAAGACTTGCATGTCAAATCAGTTTAGAATGGACCTTCGTTCTGATATTCCAAAATTTTTCTCTCTTCTTTTGACCAGCAAATTCCAGTATCATCCCACTTTACTATTTGGAACTCAATCTTGAGGAAATTTTATATTTAACATTAAGATGCATTAATGAAAGTGCAAGGTGTTAATTTTTCAGCACTTCTCCTTTTTTGGTCAGTATTCACCTGGCATGTTTGGAGATGATTGCCATCAACTTTGTGACTGTGAAGGAGAAACCTTCTGCCACCCAAAAACTGAAAAATGCCTCTGCCCCCGTGGGAGAACTGGAGCCAGATGTGATGCTGGTAGGACCCAAAGCACGTCAGGACTCCCCCCTGACCCATCGTTATACAGAGATCTGTAGACATTTTCCTGCTAGAAGTGGTACTCTATTAAAGAGCATTGCCCAGAATTGCTTGATACTTTCCCCTTAGTAAGATGAGCAGGGTGTGTAGCTGTTACATCACAGGCAGCTCAAACAACGTTACAGCTGTCGGAGGACACGTGTTAAGTACTTAAAGGGACACAGTTAAATGCCCCATCACAAAGGTGATTCATAGAAATCACTGAGAATTAAGGCAATTAAGGTGTGGTCCAGATAGTATTCTTGAGACCCAAGCTTCCAGCTACTCTTTGGGAATTGAAATGTGTATTTCGTTTTTCTTTTCACTCAGAGAAATAATGACCTAAAATATAAAGTTCTAATTCTTCAGGGACTGTCTTAAGAAGAAGAGAGAGTAGATTGAGTAATTTTGAACTAATCACTTGCTACTAGACTTAATGGATGCTTATCAGATGAAGAGTTTTATATAATTCACAATAGACCTGAAGGACTGACCCTGCCACAGATATTACCCAAAATAGAGGGTTTAATCTCAGAGTTTACTTTTCTCATCTGCAACAGAGAAGGCTTGAAGCTTCATTGCTAAAAGAAGGGTTATTTCTAAATAAAGTCATGGCCTACACAGATGTCCTACAAGGTATTTTATTTTCATTTTTATTTTCAATTAAACACGGTTCATCTGTGATATTAAGTGTGAACAGCTGTGTCTATGCAGGCACCATAAAGATAAAAGATCTCATTTTAACTTGAACTCTGGTAAAGGTGCTATTAAACAGCCATAATATTAATTCATAAAAGAATATAACAACCTTTTATTGCATTATTCTCCCACCCCATTGGTAAATTAACATTTGCAGACATTCAAACAGATGTCTTAAATATACATCATTATTAACATGAAAATGTGGTATTTTTATAAATTAAACTCAGATTCTGGAGTGCTCGGGAGAGATCCTGACTCACAACTCTTTTTCTAATAAGAACACTCAATCTTGCCACCAAACTAAGTAATCCTCCCACACACTGGGCAGGGGTGTCTGGGTTGAACTTCATTTGAAATGACATAGGATTTTTTAAAATTTTTCACAAAGTTTCATGGTTTAAAGATTCAGAGCAGCATTTGCACTGCCTCCAAAGCTTCTTCTTAAAGGAAACTGTTGCTCTGTCATTTAGGAAGGGATTGAATTACTGTTTGCTAATGTTGAACCCTTGTAAAAATAATTAATTGCAAAATTGGTTTATGTTTCTATTTGCCTTATATTTATAATCTAATTAGTTAATTAAGGCAAGAGAGCTAGGCCACATCTTAACCTATGTTCATAATGCAAAATAATAAAAAAATATACATCCAACTGCTCATCTCTAACCCAGCATAAAGGATAGTGAGTCAATAAAGAAGTTTTTAACAAAAATTTGCCCAAAGTTTCAGAATTTGCCCCAGAGCCTATATCTTCATATTCACTGACATTTCCCAAATTCTCACTTTCCTGCTTTTTACTTTTTTATTAGGGCTTTCTTCTGCATATGTTTAATACCTTGCATCCACTCGTATAGTAGTGTAAAATGGGGAAAGAGCACTAGGTAAGAATTCTAAAACCCAGCTCTGCTGTTTATCAGAGATATATTATAGTAATTGAGAAGATCTTTTAAGCCATACCAAACCAAGGTTTATTTCTCTGTGGAATGCAAGAGCCTAACTCACTGCCTTGCCCACCTCACAGGTGTTAGAACCAACAGAAATACTGTATTAGAGACCCACTTTGTAAACTCCACAAGGGTAGGTGACTGTTATGATTGCACAGTTGAGTTTCTCTGATCCTTAAACATTGATAAACTGAGTTTCTTCCCAGTCCTGCCTGACCGAGTAGGAAATATGAATCTATTTTCTGTTTCCGTGAGCTGGGCTGGGCTTTCTCCTTATCCTCATAATTCTTCAGAAACAGAACTTGTTAATTCTCTACTGGAAATCAGGCTAAGAGCAAACACCCAGGCCGGGCCTTTTTGGTCAACATTTGGTTAAGCTAACACTTTCTATAATCTTCCATCATTTCTCTTTCTGTTGCAAGCACAGTGTAATTCAATTTAAAGATAGAGTCCTGTAGGACATAGATCAGGGGATCTATGGACCTTCTGACATATTTTAAGAAATGAAACAGTTGAAATTAAAGTCATTTCATTTTCAATAACATAAGCACAAATAATTGTGTTTTCATCCTAAAGGTTAGTCTCCTGTATTGGGCGTTCAGCATGGATGTTGCCTTTTTCTGACCTCAAGACAACTATCCAACTTTCCCTGTGTCCTTCACGATGCAACCACTAAAGCTCTACTGAAGTCTCTAATTCTGAGAAGGCACCTTAAAAATGTAAGTTGCTGTCCTGACTTCTCTTTTCAGTGTTGTCACTAACTTCCTTGACACTCCCACCCTTCTCCTGTTTTCCATTGATGTTCTTACTTTTATCACATAGCATTCTAGCATGGGAAGATATCCCATGGTAAAAAAGAATATTTCACAAGCGTATAATTATCTTATTGAATGCCAAGAAGTAATAGTAAGAACACTGTGTGTTTGAAAAGCATATCTGAATTGCTTTTACTTTAATTTTCTCCCTCATAGAATGCAGGCCAGGCCTGTATGGACCAAACTGTGCTCTCCAGTGTCAGTGTGGTTACATAGCTCACTGCAGCCCTCTCAATGGGAGCTGCACCTGCCTTTTTAAGACAGTGGACCCAACCTGTGAGGAAAGTGGTTCAGATGATCCTCAATATCCAAATACTAACAGCTTTTCAATTGGTGAATAGAATTTTGCAGACTTTCATCCACGGTTTATCATTTTAACTTTGACAGAGAAATGTACTTACTCAGCCATCTTCAGCCCATCCCGACCTGTTGTGGGGTAAATAACAGGATGTCTCAACTTTGTCATCTCCAAGCACAAGTCTCATTCTCTAGCCTAGCCTTCCCAGTGGTTTTTTTGCTGAAGAATATAGCCAATAATAAGAGAATGTTATTTCAGGATCCCAATCTTAGTAATGTTTGGACTAATAAGTGGACCTTTTTTATATGCACAGAAGGTATTTAAATTTGGATGGAAGAACTGCTTTTCAGTTCAGGTTGGACTACACTGAAATATTCACACCTATTCACTGAAGACTTCAGTGGCCATGAAATAGCTGGATCCTCTTTAGAAATATCTAGAATTTCATCTATTTATTCTCAGTATCCTTCTTCATAACAAACTCTGCTCTGGATTGCTAATGTATTGTTTTTCAAACATGACTTTGGTGTGGGAGACTATAAAGACTTTAGCCACCTAATGACGTGCACTTTCATAGTGAAACATCAAAATGTTTAGTGTGTTTTCTCCGTCACTGGCCAGCAGAAAGGAAAAAACTGGGTAGCAGTGACCGAGGCCAGGGCTTAGCCTACTCTGGGGGACACAAATTTCCTATAAATCAGGACCTACTTGTAATCAGTCTTTTAATTCACAGTGGTAATCTTGATTCAAATTGTTCATCATTTAGGACAACTATATAGCCATTTATGAACCTAAGATGAGTACTGTGATAAGCCAAGAAAGATACAGCAATAAATACTATTTTATTTTTGCTCTCAAGTAGTTTATAAGCACTTAAATTTTTCAGACCACTGGTTAATTCACATCAGCAAACAAAACTTTCTTGATTGGAAATGTTGTTTCTCATGTTACCCATGCTTTATTGGGATAAAAATAGAGAATATTACAATTATATGACTGAATATTTGATTTATACAAGATGTATGAGTGGCTTTTAAATCAAAACAGATTTAGGATAGAATTGACTGAAGGATTTATAAAAATACTTTTATCAATTCAGTACAGTTTCTCATCTTAATGATTATCTTTCTAAATCTCAGCACTTTTAACAGAGCAGAGATATAGCTACCTATAATGACCAGCCATGTCAAGCTTAATGTTATTAAATGATATAAGGGAGTTAATGAGATCACTTTCCAAAAAATGTTGTACTTTTTATTTTATTTTTTATTTATTTTATTTTATTTTTTTTTTTTGAGACGGAAGCTCACTCTGTCGCCCAGGCTGGAGTGCAGTGGCGGGATCTCGGGATCTCGGCTCACTGCGAGCTCCGCCTCCCCGGTTAACGCCATTCTCCTGCCTCAGCCTCCCAAGTAGCTGGGACTACAGGCACGTGCCACCATGTTCGCCTAATTTTTTGTATTTTTAGTAGAGATGGGGTTTCACCTTGTTAGCCAGGATGGGCTCAGTCTCCTGACCTCGTGATCCACCCGCCTCGGCCTCCCAAAGTGCTGGGATTACAGGTGTGAGCCACCGCGCCCGGCGTATACTTTTTATTTTCTTAGGGATAGAGTCTCCCTTTGTTGCCCAGACTTGGGTGCAGTGGCATGATCCTAGCTCACTGCAACCTCAGACTCTTGGGCACAAGGAATCCTCCCACCTCAGCCCCCTCAAGTAGCTGGAACTACAGACATGCACTACCATGCCCATCTGATTTTAAAAAATTTGTAGAAACGAAGGTCTCACTATGTCACCCAGGCTGGCCTTGAACTCCAGGCCTCAAATTATCCTCCTGCCTCAACCTTCCAAAGCACTGAGATTACACATGTGAGCCACCACTCCTGGCTTCTCCAAGAGATTATTAATTTAGTTTAGTCTTAAATGAGATAAAATAAATTACCTTTTTTCTCCAGTATTTGGAATTAAAGATTTACATTTCAGTGCATTTTAACCATTTAAATCAGTCATTAATAATCTGTTATTTCAAATCAGCTGAAAACTATTCTTTATTCTGAACGTTTGCCCATTTTCTTTACCTGCTATTGTTGTAGTTTCTCTCAACTATCACCATCTAACCTTCAAAGAGAATAAAGTAAATAAAAGCAGCATTCTCTCTTGGGCTGCCAGCCCCCTCTGGATTTTCTTTATTTCATGACTGTTAAAAAATTATGGCTACAAACAGGGAAAAGAGAAAGAAATCAGGCTTTTCTTCCTCAGTAGAGACCGTATTTCTATTCAGGCAGATGAGAAAAATCTAGATTTGATAGGAATAAAAATAAGGGATTTATTTTGACTATTCTTTTTGATTTTATATTACTTAACTTTTTATAAGTGAGAAACCATATGTAAAATGTTAAACAAGTTTCTTGGCAAATGGCAGATGTTTCATATATTATCTCCTTTCATCCCCTTTCCACCCAACACTAAAACAAATTGTAGGACCGGGAAAGCAAAGTCAGAGCATGAACCTGTATTTGTGCCATCCCAGGACCCTTTAGACAAATTGAATTTTCATTCTTATACCAGTCAGCATGAACAAGTGCAATTTACTGTAGCCCCTTTTCTGTATAAAAATTTTTATAAGTTGTCTTTCATATTAAAAAATAAAAATGAGAAAATGTTTAAAATCTAGAATATTTCCATTGTACTTTTGGTTATCTTGAAAAATCTTGATAAGCAATGCAGAGTGATCTCTCCTAAAAATACCTCAGTTCTGCTTAAGAACACTAGCAGATATCCTGAATATTATTATATGCAATATTTCATGCATAAACCAACATATAATAAACATTAATCTTAATTCTACAGCTGGAAAATTATGAAATATAGTTTCCTTGAAAATTTATATAATAGAATTTAAAATTTTATTTTTTGTAACTGCCACATTGAAACTGCTTCAAATTAAGAAAACAGTGTACAAAGACCTCACCTTTTTTAAACAAATAAATAAAGGTTGCTGTTCACTTTGGCAGTACATAAGCATTTACCTGAGGTTTTTACATGTAAACCACTATTCAGGTACAGTGAAGTATGATTTGGCTGCCGAGAAATAATTTGCACAAAATGTTAAAGAATCCAACTATTAAGTGAAGTATAATCTAATAGGCATGTCCTCTTTAAGCTAAAGTTTAATGTAAAATTGGAATCCTTGTCATTGGATACAAATATTTTATATATTACTCCTCTACTTTTTCTCCCTGTTTAATCTGTCCTTTAAATGTAAAAATGCTGATCTCCAAAGGAAATGTATCCACTCATAATATTTAACCGATCTAGAAAGGCGCATGTGCTATGATGTTTTAGCCTCTTTCATTTGAAATACAAGATCAGAGTGGGGATTATTATGCTTTTCTGCAATAATATAGCTCAAGTTTAAAGAAAAGTGAGCAGATGTGTGGAAGTATGCTGGCTAATTTGGAGTCTCAATTCAACATGCCTGGGATAAACTATTTCACTATGACACCTAACTTTCCCCTACTCTTTCTAACTTCTACATTCGTTTATTGAGTTTTCCAGATGAGACAGCTACTTGACACAGGTTAAATTACTTTCAGAGAACTTGGAAATCATTCCAAGAGTTAGTGGCAAGAATGGCATTTCCTTTGTTAGAAATAGCAAAGAGGGTTTGGCCTCTCCTGGGCCTCTTTCACCTTGGTTTCTCTAGGACCTGGTAATACAGATGTAGCAAGAATTTAAAAGAGCATTTGATGAAGTGAACAAATAATAGCAACTGTCTACACTCTAGGAGTTATGTATGCAATTCAGTTGAAATAACTTTTCTTAGGTCTGTAATAGAAAAAAAACAAAAAAGTAGCTGAGCTTTTAAAATAGATTTAAAAGACATTCCAAAGCTTTGTCTCTTTTAGCTAATTATGTGAAGACTATTTTCCACTTTTCCTGCTTATATTTTACTTTTTCTAAATAAAAAAACTTAAATATAAATAAAGTCTAAGATATGCATTTAAAAGTGATAGATGCCTCTTTTATGTTCTTCCAAATATTTACAGAGTTTTATCTCTAAATCTTATATCAGGATTACATGAAACACCATTTAATAATTCTTCATTTTAATGTTTGTGTGCTAACAGCTCTAATTTTGAAGAATATTAATTCAAATAACATATATTAACAAATTAGGTGTTTTTCTTCCAACAGAAGTCTTAAAATATATAAAATGTTTTAATATTAATGCCTCCACTTAAAAAAGATATAAGAAAATGTATTAAATATAATTTTTTTGCCAAGACTTCATGAGAAAAATTCAGCAATAGTTCAACAGACAAAACGATTCAGAACTGGATGTTTAGTGCTTAAGTGTTGACAATATTGGTCTCTTGAAACATAGAGTATTGGCTTGTGAATAAAATTCCATATGTGAGATTTGGATGAATTTGGGAGAGAGCATTCAACATGTGTTTGATGAATAGTGGAACCCGTGATGGATTAGATATCTAAATGGTCAATTGGTAATATTTCAAATAGTTTATTAATTGAAAAATGCCTTCATTCATGTCAATTTTCAACCATTGTCTACAAAGAAATTTTCTGCATTTTAACTCTACCTTGAATTCACTAAATAATTTTAAAATTTGTAGTGCCTACTATACTAGGTACTGTTTTAGGCATGAAAAAAGTAGTAGTGAACAAGAAGGATGTGTTCTCTGCCCTCATAAACTTCCAGTCAAGAGACTATGATAGCCAACAAGGGCAATGTTTTTAAATATCTCTAGCTGTGCAGTCAGTTTTATAGTTCATCAATCCTTTTATAGTTCATTAATCCTTTCCTAAGTGTATTTCTCACAAATTTGTTAATTCTCCAATGTTAATGCACATTTCGATAAATCAAATATATTTTACCTAACCTTAAATTCATGTAGCAGGTTTTACTCTTAGTGCTGTGATAGGAATTAAATTAAAAAAAAAACTCATGAAATACCATTTCACATTTATAGAAAGCTGTATTATTCTTTGCAATGTAAAAGGAAAGTTCACTTTCAAAGCTGTTGTTGAAGCCCTACTGTTATGAGGATTTACGTAGTGGAAGTAGAGAAAAAGAAAATATTCCTCATGTTCTGACAACTGTTGCATCCTTTTCAGCATCCATTATGCCTTCTCTTTTAATGGAGATGAATGTTTCCTAATGATAGAGGAGAGTTTTTAGGCATTTTTTGAAATCTGATTTTATTACTAGGCAAGTAATTCTGACAAACATTAACAAAATCTTGCCTCTTTAGTGGGGTTTCAAAACAAGATTAGATTTTTTAAAATTAAGGTAAAATGAACATAACATAAAAGATACCATCTTAACCATTTTTAAGTGTACAGTTCAGTGACATTAAGTGTATTACATTGTTGTGCTATATTCACCAAGGGTTATTTCTTTTAATACAGGAAAAACTTCTTGATGACATTTGAGTAACATGTAGGGTTCTCAGGCTGAAGTTGCTGGTCTACTTGAATAACATAGTTGTGTACTGCCTGCACTCCTGAAATTTTTCACACTAAAAATTTAATTATTTGAAAACATACTTTCTGTACATTTATTTTTATTTACTAGGCATTTTTGCAACAAAGACATGCTACACATTTAAGTAGAGTTATACTTTTACTGGGGACCAGAAGAGCAGTCATTTTTACTGAGCATATCGTAGTCGCAGCTCATAACTTTATCATGTTTTTGAACATACTAAAACATAAAACATCAGTACATCATTATGCTCTATGAAATAAAAATTGAATTAATAATTCTATTTTTAACAACCATCATGCATTTCCCAGATTTTTGCCATTTTCCTAAATATCTGCTCCCTGGGGTCCACTCTGGGCCTAAGGCAGTCATGGTACCAAGACCTTGAGGCCTCGAGCAGTGTTTCCTGATGAGTATTTGATGGAGTTACAAATTTACAAATTAATAGTATTCTGTAAAGTAGAACCAGGGAAAGGGGGTAGAATTGGTTGGATTTTATACTTGGTAACGCCATAACTAGGAAACTCTGGATTAAATAGAACTAAATAGTATACTTTATTGCAGTACTTGTTGGGAACCCAATATGTTGTGATTTGTGAATTTCTAGGAGGAAGACAGAGTACATAAAGAATTTCAAATAAAGAATTTCAAATTGTTTAGGCGTTCCTTTTTGTGAGGAATGTTTTGGAAAAACTAGTGTCTCAGGGAAAAGTTTTTGTGAAAAACAGAGATAAGTATCTACTTAAGTGAGCCCTCAGAAGCATCCTTGGTCTGGATGCCCTGATCACACATTTTCACGGTGTTTTTAGTCATTGCCTGAGAGAATTCTAAGGCCTATATTACTTTATAGTTTCCCATGAATCCTCTGTGAGCCAATACACATTTCTCAAAAGGGTCTTTGGAAATACAAATCAAAATGTTGATGAAACTTTTAGAGAACTTTGCCTTTCTTGCCTGTCCAATTAATATGAGAAATTAATTTTTAAAACATTAAGGACAATTAGGAAGATGTAAAATACATTGTGTTCTTTTAAAATTGAATTTTGTAAAAGTTATATAGGAATAAGTGTTGAAAAATAAAAGACCAAAATTTTGCTAACACCTGGGCATTTTATAGAAGCTTTACATACCCTATTTTGAATAACCCATGGGGTTTATATAAATGCATCAAAATTCCAAAGACAGAATATTGGGTAGCACATTGGATGAAATCCGTTTTGAGAATCACTAAATGGCTGCTGGCATGCCATGATTGAAGTGTGAGGATTCTAATAATGCTAGAGTTATCTAAGTATTTTGGCTACTGAATTTTATATTATTTATTAAATAAAATATTGAACATGAACAGACACACACATACACATAGACCTATCTATGAGTTTGGGAGTTTCTCTTAGGATTATATATTTAAGACATCTTCTGTTAAAATGACATTAACATTTCAAGTTTTTACAAATAGATATAGATATACTTTAGTAATGAGAAAAATCTTTCTCGCTTACAGATACCTGCAGTTCAACATGGTTTTTATAGACATCTATTTAAATTTTAAAATTGATAAATGAGGAAATAAACCTAATCTCAACTTGTCAGGCTAAAATACAGACTCTATTCATACTTTGGAATACTTATCCTAGCTATATTATGTGTTGGATAACCAAAGAAAACAAAGGGGCAACAATTATGGAGTAGAGAATCTTATATGCTTGCAATAAAAAAAGTGCAGAATTTAAAGAGACTTTAAAGCTTCCCCAGTCTTTTTGGTTCATAAGCAAGAAAACTGAGACTAATTGGGTCCTATAGTGAAAAAATCACAGAACCAAGACTTTCTCATCTCTTATCTCTGTTTTCTCATGTCTCTCAGCTTATGTCTTTTGATTATTCTTTTTGTTTTTTTTTTTTTTTAACTTTTGTTTTAGGTTCAAGGGTACATGTGTAGGTTTGCTACATGGGTAAACTCGTGTCACAGTGGTTTGTTGTACAGATTGTTTTCTCACCCAGGTACTAACCTGAGTACCCGACAGTTATTTTTTCTGTTCCTCTCCCTCCTCCCACCCTCCACCCTCCAGTAGGCCCCAGTCTCTTGTTCCCCTCTTTGTGTCCATGAGTTCTCATCATTTAGCTCCCACTTATGAAAAAAAGCCCAATATCACTGATCATTAGATAAATGCAAATCAAAACCACAGTGATATACCATCTCACACCAATCAGAATGGCTAGTATTGAAAAGTCAAAAAATAACAGATGCTGGCAAGATTGCAGAGAAAAGGGAACACTTATATACTGTTGGTTGTAGCGTAAATTAGTTCAAGCATTGTGGAAAGCAGTGTGGCAATTCCTCAAAGAGCTAAGAACTACCATTCGATCAGCAATGCCATTACTGAATATATACCCTAAGGGAGTATAAATCATTCTACCGTAAAGACACATGGATGCGTGTGTTTATTGCAGCACGATTCCCCTTTCTAAGATGTGAGACATTCTTTTGGCAAGGAGGGTCAGTGAATCTTACTTTACAGAAATCCCTTTGAATTCCAGCTTTAGTGTTACAGACCTTTCAAACTTGCGTTGTCACCATTTATATGATTCCACACTGTGTATGGAGAAGTAGTTAAATACAAATATAAGAAATTAAAGCCAATGAGAGATTCAAGGTCCTGTAATGATTTCATCATCATTTAAGGAAAGTAATTTAAATATTAATGGTTTTCATACCTTGTTTGGCATATGTTATTCAAACTTTATATTTTAAACACTATTTTGTCAACAGATTTTAAGAATATCTTCAGTTGACACAGCTTAACAATTTCTGTAATGAATGATAAACACAATTCTCAGAATTAATCCACACAAACATGGCTTTTTTTTTTTTTAAGTTCATTATGTAAGTGCCAAATAAACCTCTGAGAAGCATTATTGGTCAGTACCTCATTTGTAGCCATAAGGAACAGTTGCATTCACTTTATTTTTTTTGCTGTTCATTAGTTTAAGAACTCTTGTGATAAGAATCCCATATAATATTAATGAGTTTATTCCCCTTAAATTTGACTAACCAAGTTTGCTGGCTTATATTTTACTTAATCAAGACATATTCAAGGAAATTTAAGACAATTAAATAATGAATTAAATGAATAATCTGGATATGTGTCCTTCTAAAACAGTGTTTCTCAAACTTGATTGGGAGATAGAACATCTGAATATCATTATACTCAAGGTGGAACATGAATTATTAAGATATTTAATAATATATGAGCTGGAATAAATATTTCTTAGAGAAACTATATTATATGCATATTATATAAAAATCTAAAACATGCATATACAGGACCACAAAATTTTCTTAACTCTTCAGTTAGATACAATCACTTTTCTGAGAAATTTCATCAATTCATTGTATATTAATTGGACATTCACTTTGCCAGACTCAATAATTATTTGGGATCAATTGTTTTTTAAAGAAACTCTTATTGGTGAAAATGTTAAATAAGAAAATCTAATCAAATGCGAACTTGAAGAAACATTGGTCGTATTCAATTAAGCAATGGAACTCTTTTCCCAAGTTGCATAGTCTGAGGACTATTAAAGTCTGTATTAGTTTGTTGGTTGAAAGGTAAACATGGCATCTGTTTTTTGATCTATATACATACAAATTTTTAAAATAAACGAAAACTTTATGCAATAATGTACTTTTTAAAAATAAACGTGTGTTATATGTATGGCATTCATTTTAAATAGATGTTTTTATAATATGTTTTCTTTGTGATAATGTATGTGTTAAGAGTTATAACTGAGGCCGGGTGTGGTGGCTCACACCTGTAATCCCAGCACTTTGGGAGGCTGAGGCAGGCAGATTATGAGTCAGGAGACAGAGACCATCCTGGCCAACATGTTGAAACCCCATCTCTACTAAAAATACAAAAATTAGCTGAATGTGGTGGTGCATGCCTGTAATACCAGCTACTTGGGAGGCTGAGGCAGGAAAATCTCTTGAACCTGGGAGGTGGAGGTTGCAGTGAGCTGAGATCACACCACTGCGCTCCAGCCTGGCTGCAGAGCGAGACTCTGTTTCAAAAAAAAAAAAAAAAAAAAAAAAAACTTATAACTGAAACTTTACTATTGGGGTGAATCATCTACACTTGAGAAATCAATAGCCAGCTATTTACAAAGGCTAAATAAATCTGCTATTTATTAGATCCCCATCATTTGATTTGACAATATCAGTTCACTAGGTGACATCATGTTTTTCCACTCTAGTTACCTGAGAGAACCAGTTAGGACAAATTAATCTTATTGAGAGCTTTTTTTCTTTTTCCTTTGTCATCTTGGTCTATTCTGGCATGAATTTATTGGTATTTTTCTTTTTCTTTTGGATGTTTTATACTTTTTTTTCTTTTTTCTCTTTTTTCTTCTTCTTCTTTGTAAACCATAGGAATATTTTATATTTTCTAACTCACAGGGTTGGTACAAAAACCAAATTATTTGCTTGTGAGAGAATACTTCTTAAGCACTAAAGCAAGCTTGACCAACCCATGGCCCAGGACAGCTTTGAATGCAGCCCAACAAAAATCCATAAACCTTAAAACACTGAGATTTTTTGTGTGATTTTTTTTTTTTTTAGCTCATCAGCTATCATCAGTGTTAGTGTATTTTATATGTGGCCCAAGACAATTCTTCTTCTTTCAGGGTGGTCCAATTAACCCAAAAGATTGGACGCCCCTGCAATAAAGTATTGTATATGCTCATATTATTACCCTTTTGTTCATGATTTAATCAGGCAAAATGCAGTGAATCAATTGCCTCCAGTGTACAGATAAAGTTGTTTTCACAGATTTTTCCTCAAACTGATTATGCACATTTATCTTTGGGTGATAATAATAATTACATAATTGACTAATGACTTGTATAAATTTATTAGAATATACCAGACAGTATATAAGCATGTTTATAACATTTTGCTTAATCTTCACGGTAACTGTTTAGTAGATATGATTAACTGTCTGATTTTCCTTTTTAACAGTTGAATCTAATAACTTGCTTGGATCATATGGCTCCTAAGTGGAGCAGAACTCAGGTTTGCCTCATTCCAGAGGCCACGTTCTTGACTACAGCATGCATGCAATTATAAAACACTACCATCGAGGATGAAAATCTATACCCGTAAATTTTGGAAAGTAATAAAATTTTGATGAATCCAAGTCAGAATGAGTTCATACTCCAGTTGCTAATCAAGACACACACAGGTAGTCACATTTTCAACCACCTTTATTTTTGATGCATAAAAAAAAAAAACCTGTGAGTGCATTTTGTCTTTTGAGTGTTTTCTTTTGACATGTATATAAGCAGTGGTTAAACAAACAGTATCTCTGAAGGACCTTAACTTTAACCAAAAAACATTCACAGTAATTCCATCTATACCATGTTCTCTCCCAACCCCCAATCAAATTCTTAAAAATCAGAATGGAAAAAAAATTTTTTTCAGTTAAGCTGACTATAGTATTGCATACTTTTATTCTTAGCTTAATAACAATATTTTGAAATACATTTTGTCCCTAGTTACCAGTCCGGTTAACTTCAGACCTATGGTATAGACATTCTTTGCTAGTTTTCTTTTCACATTTTGTGGAATGTAATACTCCATTTCTCAGTATTCACAGTGATAGAGCTTACATTCTTCACTCAAAAACATTTAATAATGGCACTTCATAGCAAAAAATCTACCTTCTCTACCATTGTGTCTACACCTCTTCACTATGTGCCCTCAGCTACATAAGGAGAACTTGACCTAGTCCTGAAATCACCACACCTCCATACATTTTCTCTGCTTGCAATTCTCTATGTTTCCTGCATGGCAAATTTATTCTTCCTTAAAGGCTCCTTCAAAGAGTCTTACCTACCCCTCAAACCCCTACCCAAAATTATACAGAAAGTTTCTTTTAAGGCTTCTATAGCACAGGAGCTAGTATATAATGGGAGAAAAATAAATGATTTATAGAATTGTCGACTGCATTAAAAATGAATTAGAGACTGAGCTACCTGTCAGGAGGCCTCTTCTCTCTTACAAAATGTAAAAAGCTCCTTGTTTAAATTTCAAGTACCCACTCCCCTTGTGGCTATAATTGACTTGGACTAGCAATAGCCAAATGAACATATGTGAACAGTAGATGCCAAATAATGCAATTTTATTGAAATACGAATGTGGCTTTTTTGTTGGTGGGAGGATGTGCTGCTCTCCCACCATATATACTTGTTTCAAAAAATGCAGCATAAGGAAAAAACCAGATCCCATCTGCCAGGCCAAATAGCTATAAAGTAGAAAAATCAGGTTTTTAATGAATCCATTGAGAGTAACTTGAGTTATTTTTTAATGTAAGGGCAAATAAACTTTTGAGCAGAGTTACATAACCATGTAGTAGTCTTTTAATTTATAGCTAGGCCAAATTCAGATCCTGGTTTTAGCTAAATTAGAGTGCTCCCAAAAGACAGAATGATTAGATAATACAAGTAGGCTTTTGTTGGCCTCTTCTTCTAAAATATAGCTCACAGTCTAAGAAGACTAGAATTCAATTTTCAATTCAAGACAAGTAAACATGTCTGCATATATTCATAAGACTCACTGAACAACTGAACTTTGTTTTTTTATTTTCTTTAGCACATATCCACAATAAGAGTGTTGCTCTTTCATAGTCCAGTCGGAAGTAGTGTAGAATAAAGGCAGACACCTGTTCTTTCACCCGTTTTGGCCACATCTTCTAGCTCCATTTTAAGACTTCAATTTTGACAATTTTTTCTCTTAATCTACTAATAGAATCATTTGAAATATAACTCATCCATAGGAATTAGATGGTTAGCAAAGAAAGAGCCTCTATATTGATAAATAATTAATTATAATTGTGTTATGTAAAGGCCAAGATATTGCAGACAAACAGAGGTATTTAGGGCTTGTCACTGTTAATATTTGTTGTTCTCCTTGAGCATCATTATACTTCACAACGTTTTTCTTCACAACAGGAGGAAGAATTTCGCAGAAACATGACTTTGAATCCAACATACGTCCTGTACCAATTGAATGGTGCTGGCCACTAGTTTAACACATCTGTCTCAGGAAGGGAATAATGATGTTCTATCTACCTTATGGGTTAATGTGAACATTTTCATATTACGATTATTAAGCAGTACAGGTTGTTTGGCTAATTATATATGAATCAGGTGAAGGCATTTCGTAAATTATTTGCCTCAGTCTTGGACTTAGGAAACCTTAGCTTGCGTCCCAACTCTACCTCTGGGCAGTTTTGTGATCCAAGCACACTTAATCTTTTGAACTTCATTTATTCATCTGGACAGAGAGGGACAAAATTCCTCACTCAAAGTTACAGTGGTTTAAATGAAAACAAAAAGCCCATCATGTGGAACACATAGATGATAAATATAAGTTGAATCTGAACTATAGAATATAAGTTTTCCACCTGTTAATAGTAATACCATTAACAACAATAATAATGGCACACAGATTTCACAATCTTAATGTTGGGGCTCAGAACATAATAACCCAAAAGATGGCACCTTAGTGTACTATTTTAAGTTGAAGGAACTTGAAAAAAATCACAGAAGCAGGAGTCTCTGACCTCCCTCCCTTCTCCCCTGAAGACCCTAATGTGACAGGTGTTCTGCCCTGACTGTGAAGAGAAGAAGTGTCACACCTCTCAGAGAGGCTAAGACGAATCTGGACAGACAGTCCTTGCTATGTTTCTTCCAGTTTATTACCATTAGATCATACACTTTTGTCCTCCAATCATACTTCTTCTGCACAACTATTCATAAAATACAGAGTTTCCCTGTGTTTTTGGCTCTTCATTTCTGACAGCTTCTATGTCATGTAGAACTATGGTTAAATAAATTTGTTATGTTTTTCTTTTGTTAATCTGTTTTTCATTACAGGGGTCTCAGCTATGAGCCTTGTGATGGGTTGAAGAAAACATGTTACTTTACCTCCCCTTCATTGCTGAGTGCAGAAAGCTGGTCTAAGCACTGGATTTTACAGTTCTCCTGTCTATGGCATGTGTTTGTATTTCAGAAGTGAAGTAAAAGAAATCCACATTTTTAATATTATCAAGGAAACATACCCAAACAGCTGAATTATCCCTCTAGTATTTACACATTTGAGTAGAATAGGTTTTCTAAATATCTAAGTTGCCTAAAATTCTAAATATCTTTATGAAGTTCTTTTTGTTAGAAGATAATCGGTTATGGGTATTTGAAAGAAAAGTTTCTAGGACTTTTTGGTTGTTTCCTAAAAGTATGGTGTTACAAAAATGTTTGCTTCCTACTCACAGTCAGTGAGAGGTAAGGGTATCGCACTCATTGGGGATCACCCAAAGAATACCCTGGACCAGGGGACTTGGATGTTTAGGAAGATTGTTCAGAGAATGGTTTTGACCATTTCTGAGTGAGATAATATAGAGAATAATGGGGATGGAGGAAGGAACGGATAGCATGGGTTATGTCTGGGTGATTAGATGGATTGTCGGAATCAGAACCCATCTTATTCTCTGTAATTTGTCTGAAGCTCCCACGAGCCTCAAGTCAAGGGCCCTGCCCCACCACTTATTGTACATAATTAACACATTGTGGTAAATTAAACAAGTCACTATTTTCTGTCACTTCTGATTCTACTTAAATCAGAGACTTTATCACGAACAATTTGCCACTCTTTAGCATTGTTCTCAAGGGCAATTTGCCCCATTGATTCTTTGCACAGAAAGTCAGGACCTTCTGGCAATACAGGAAGAAGGTGGGAGTCAGGTGGGTTAAAAGTAGAGAAGAAAAGAAAAACCAACACCTTTGACCTGTAGAATGTGGGACAAATATGTTGGCAATGTATAATAGAATCCAAGGTTGAAAGGGATCTTTTAAAACAAACTGTTTTAGTTCTCACTCAGTGGAGCAATCATTTTTATTACCATATGTCTGATATCCACCCCACCTCTTCTTGAATGCCATCCACAATTCTTGAGTATCAGTCTGTTTCTTTGTTGCTAGAAATGTCTTTCTTAAGACAAGTGCTGTCGTTATAGAACCTCTAGTCTTGACAATCCTCTACTTGACAGTTCTAATAGTTGAAGGTAGCTTTCATGTTTCATTACTCTTTTTCTCTGAGTAAAAAAATCAGTGCTTTAATAGCTCTGATATTGTTAACCAACCTCCTCTGAAGATAAACAGTAAGTTCTTTTTGTAATTGCCAAAGCCATGGGGCTGTGGTTTAAAGTACATTATTATGGAAAATTTAATTTTTTAAATTATGTAAGTAATATATGTATTTTACGCCAAATCATTCATAATCCCACCCTGAAATAACCGCTGTTTACATTTTCATGTGCTTTTCTTTATGTATTTTATATCGTTTAGAAAAATAGGTTATATAAATAATTTTGAGTCCTGCTTTGTTTCCAATGTTATGGTTCCAACAATTTTCTGTGTCTTTAATGCTCTTTTAGAAGATGTCATCAGCAATTCATCCTAAATCCAGTATTCTTTTCTGATAATACCTTCTTCTTAACCTCTTCACCCTAAGTATCTGCAAAGATTCTTTTTAAAGTAGTTAGTCAACATCAGGAAGATGGCTACAAAGACTTGAAGAGCTGGCCTGGTAATCATTGATAACAAAACACTTCAGGTACAACAGAAAGCCAATGCTTTTTATTTAAAAAGTTAGCTTAAACTGAGAACACTTTCTTCTTTGTTGACTAAATCTTCCTTCTTGAAAAGACATTTCTTAAGCAGATAAAGAAATTTACACCCTCAGTTCATAAGGTATTTAATGTTTATATTCTCATGATGACAAACTGAGAGCCATTAGCACAAGGAGACTCTCTCCTGATGACAGAGGTGGATCTCCAGTGAAAGGAACCAAGTGAAGGTAAAGCGGTACAAGGCTTTGTAACCATAGTTACTTTAAGTCTAAGATTTTAAAGCTATTGTTTCCATTATGAAAGATGCATTAACATTCCTTTATGTCTACTCTTGGAAACCTTGTTATCATGACTAGCCTATTTACTTACTTATCTCTTAAGAGGTGGTTAGGCTTAATTAATTCTTAAACATTAACCTTGAAGATATATTCTGGAGGGTGGGAGAAGGGTTTTACTCTTTGAAAATGGGAAGGAGTAAACTCAGTGAAATGCTCAAATTCTGAGAGTAGCAGAAACTTTACCTTATGGACTTCTTTAAGAATTTGCTTCTACTTAATCCAGAAAATTCTGGAAATGCCCTCTTATGTCAATATGCATGCACCTAAATGAAGTGAAGGGTGAAATGGGGGTACTTTGGAAAGCAGTCCTAAAAAGCAACTTGTTATGTACTTAGCAGCTAATCATTCTTTTAGTTGTAACAGCTGTTTTCTTGTAAATGGTAAAAATATTCATGGTAAACTACGGGAATCATTCATACATTCATGACAATGAAGTAGGATGTTCTTTTATGACTAGGCTATTACCACATTAAGAGAAACTGCTGCCTCAGATTTTTTCTTTTCCCCTTTGTAGCAAATATTCTGACAACCACACAATTTTATCATTTGCATTGAGAGGCTGGCTACAGTAAACTACTATATCATTGTAAAAAGCACTCTCTCATTGCTACTTCCATTTTTGAAGAAGGAATACTAGTGTGAGTTGTTCCTAATTGTTTATAATAAATTTTCAGCGTAAGAAGTTTTCACCTTACTTTTCAAAAACATTCTGAACACCAGTGTTAGCCTTACTAAAGACTTTTTTCTGAAGTTGTTTATTGCCTTGCAGAGCAAGAGGAACTTAACTCTCACTTAAAGCAGGCCTATATAATTTAATATGATAATCTTCCTCAATTAGACTCAACATGCTTACCCGAGTACTGTGCATCCAGGAAATTTTAGCTTGGACATAATTTTCTCAGAGAAGCCTTCTGTTTCTCTGCACTAAAACAGCCATGCTACCAACACACTCTCTGATCATATTTTAAGTCCTCCTAGCACCCTAATTTTCTTTATATGACTGAGCACATTTTAAATTCTTACTCAATTCTTGTCTTTTCCACCAAGTTTAAAACTATGTCAAAGTAAACTATCATCTGTGCTTTCCTAGTGTTGTTTCCTCAGGACCATGCATAGTGCTTTGCACATGGCTGGCCTTAGATAAATGTTTGCTGAATGAATAAAATTGATGCATTAACTGTACTGTGTTATGTTCCTTGAAGCATGAACTTTTCCATAATACCACTTTATCAGTTTTGTTTGAGAAAAAAAGATGAGGAGTGCAACTCTGTGCTTTGGAAAGCAAAATCTAGAATATCTGACTTGATGCATGCCCATAGTTAGTGACATAGTCTACCATCTTGGATTAAGCTTGAGACTTTCTCCCTCTCACGCCAACCTCTATTCCATCTCAGGAAGAGTATAAACATAAACCAAGGGCAGTATTGGGTCATAAGCAAGAATATGAAACCTTTCATTTGACAATAGAAGTTAAAACATTTTGTGTTCCCATAGTAAATATTGTGATTGGGAAGAACTATTTGACTCCTTGAGAAGATTATAGAGTTTTTCAATTCGACTGTTTCCTTGAGAATAAGGAAAGAAATTCATTATTACAACTGAAAATGAATGAATGAAGATCCAGGGTAAATGTATTCTGGAAATAATATTTCATGGAAGATACTCCCCCTTTATTCTAAGCACTGCCAAAAATGATTTGATGCTGAATGTAACATTCAGGGCAAAATAATAAGATCAAAAGGGGTGTATTATAGTTATATTAAGCTAGTCTGATCCTTTGAAATCTGTGTAAAAGGCCTGACAAAGCAGTAATTTTTACATATGGAAATGTATTTATAATAAAAGCATACGGATAATAAATTGCCTTTGTTGAATGAATAAAGTTAGATTAAATTCACAATGCCTGTAAAACCAGCATATTGTGAAAAACAAACAAACAAAAAATCAACCTGTAGTCTGGAGCTTCATGTTCTAGTACAACTTTTTGTCCTAAAATTTTCATGGGCATTATGATAAATTATCATAATCTGTTGGAGATTCAGCTTCACCACACGTAAAAATACACTTAGATTAAATGATCTTAAGTATTCCTACCAAGTTTACTGTTGTATTAGTCCATTTTCATACTGCTGATAAAGACATATCTGAGGCTGGGAAGAAAAAAAGGTTTAATTGGACTTACAGTTCCACATGGCTGGGGAGGCCCCAGAATCACGGCAGGAGGGGAAAAGCACTTCTTACATGCTGCAGCAAGAGAAAATGAGGAAGATGCGAAGGTGGAAACCCCTGATAAAACCATCAGATCTTGTGAGACTTATTCACCACCACAAGAACAGTATGGGGAAAACTGTCCCCATGATTCAAATTATCTCCCACTGGGTCCCTCCCACAACACGTGGGAATTATAGGAATACAATTCAAGATGAGATTTGGGTGGGGACACAGAGGCAAACTATATCATTCCACCCTGTCCCCTCCAAGTCTCATGTCCTCACATTTCAAAAACAATCATGCCTTCCCAATAGTCCCGCAAAGACTTAACTCATTTCAGCATTAACCCAAAAGTCCACAGTCCAATGTGTCATCTGAGACAAGGCAAGTCCCTTCTGTCTATGAGTCTGTAAAATCAAAAGCAAGTTAATTACTTCCTAGATACAATGGGGGTACAGGTATTGGGTAAATACAGCCATTCCAACTGGGAGAAATTGTCCAAAAAAGGGGGTTACAGGGCCCATGCAAGTCCAAAATCCAGGGGGGAAGTCAAATTTTAAAGCTCCAAAATGATCTCTTTTGACTTCAGGTCTCACATCCAGGTCACACTGATGCAAGAGGTGAGTTCCTATGGTCTTGGGCATCTCTGCCTCTGTGGCTTTGCAGGGTACAGCCTCCCTCCCAGCTGCTTTCATGGGCTGGCACTGAGTGTCTGCAGCTTTTCCAGGCGAATGATGCAAGCTATCGGTGGATCTAACATTCTGAGGTCTGGAGGATGGTGGCCCTTTTCTCTCAGCTTCACTAGGTGGTGCCCCAGCAAGGACTCTGTGGCCCCTACGGGAAGTGGGCATGCCCAGCAGGGACCCAGGAGGGACTCAGACTCCACATTTCCCTTCTGTACTGCCCTAGCAGAGGTTCTCTATGAGAGCCCCACCCCTGCAACAAACTTATGCCTGGGTATCCAGGATTTTCCATACATCTGAAATCTAGACTGAGGTTCCCAAACCTCAATTCCTGACTTCTGTGCACTCGCAGACTCAACATCACATGGAAGCTGCCAAGACTTGGGGCTTGCACCCTCTGAAGCCATGGCCCAAGCTCTACACTGGCCCCTTTCAGCCACGGCTGGAGCAGCTGGGACGCAGGGCACCAAGTCCCTAGGCTGCACACAGCACTGGGACCCTGGGCCTGGACCACTAAACATTTCCTCCTAGGCTTCCTGGCCTGTGATGGGAGGGCCTGCTGTGAAAACCTCTGACGTGCCCTGCAGACATTTTCCCCATTGTCTTGGGATTAACCTTTAGCTCCAAGTTACTTATGCAAATTTCTGCAGCCTGCTTGAGTTTTTCCCCACAAAATGGGTTTTTCTTTTCTATCATATTGTCAGGCTGCAAATTTTCCAAACTTTAATGCTCTGCTTCCCTTATAAAACTGAATGCCTTTAATAGCACCCAAGTCACTTCTTAAATGCTTTGCTGCTTAGAAATTTCTTCCACCAGATACCCTAAATCATCTCTCCCAAATTCAAGGTTCCACAAATCTCTAGGGCAAGGAAAAAAGGCTGCCAGTCTCTTTGCTAAAACATAACAAGAGTCACCTTTGCTCCAGTTTCCAGCAAGTTCCTCATCTCCATCTGAAACTACCTCAGCCTGGACCTTATTTTCCATGTCACTATCAGGCTTTTGGTCAAAGCCATTCAACAAGTCCCTAGGAAGTACCAAACTTTCCCACACTTTCCTGTCTTCTTCTGAGCCCTCCAAACTCTTCCAACCACTGCCTATTACCCTGTCCCAAAGTCGCTTCCACATTTTCAGGTATCTTTTCAGCTACGCCCCACTCTATTGGTACCAGTTTACAGTATTAGGCCATTTTTATGCTGCTGATAAAGACATACCCAAGACTAGGAAGAAAAAGACGTTTAATTGGACTTACAGTTCCACATGGCTGGGAGGCCTCAGAATCATGGTGGGTGTCTTGCGCATCCGTGTGAAGAGACCACCAACAGGCTTTGTGTGAGTAATAAAGCTTTTTAATCACCTGGGTGCAGGTGAGTCTGAAAGGAGAGTCAGCAAAGGGAGTTAGGGGTGGGGCAGTTTTATAGGATTTGGGTAGGTAGTGGAAAATTACAGTCAAAGGGAGTTGTTCTCCTGTAGGCAGGGGTGGGGGTCACAAGGTGCTTAGTCGGGGAGCTTCTGAGCCAGGAGAAGGAATTTCACAAGGTAATATCATCAGTTAAGGCAGGAATCGGCCATTTTCACTTCTTTTGTGATTCTTCAGTTGCTTCAGGCCATCTGGATGTATACGTGCAGGCTTGGGCTCAAAGGCCTGACATTCCTGTCTTATATTAATAAGAAAAGCAAAACCAGATAGTGGTGAAGTGTTAGGGTGGTGAAAATTTTTGGAGGTGGTATGAAGAGATAATGGGCGATGTTTCTCAGGGCTGCTTTGAGTGGGATTAGGGGCGGTATGGGAACCTAGAGTGGGAGAGATTAAGCTGAAGAAAGATTTTGTGGTAAGGGGTGATATTGTGGGGTTGTTAGAAAGAGCATTTGTTGTGTAGAATGATAGGTGATGGCCTCGATACGGTTTTGTATGAATTGAGAAACTAAACGGAAGACACAAGGACTGAATAAGAGAAGGAGAAAAACAGGTATTAGAGGACTAAGAGTTGGGAGGACCCAGGACATCCAATTAGAGAGTGCCCAAGGAGGTTCAGCATGATTATTTGCTTGGTTGGTGAGTTTTTGGGCCCTATCTTTGAGTTTTTTTTTATGTTGCCATGTACCATGCCAGATTGATTTAGGTAAAAACAACACTTTTCATTTAAAAATATACAGAGTCCTCCTTTTTCAGCAGTAAGTCAAGACCTATTCCCGTCTTATTGTATTAATAATAAGAAAAACAAAACAAGATAGTGGTGAAGTATTGGTGTCATGAGGGGAACAGGAAGCTGTTCGGTAATATTTGCAAACTGATTTTTAGGGGTAAGGAAAACTAGTGTACATGTGCCTGTCTAATTAACAGGTAGACACATGTAGGTAGAGGAGCCACAGAGGAAGAAGAGACCTTGTGTAAGGCAAAACTAGAAATGTAAAGTAGGGGAAAGAATTGGAGTGTGTTTTTTCAGCAAAGGTCATTTATCCACTGTAAGAGGGAGTTAAGAGTGGTGGTTAGGGGATAAGACCAGGACCAGCTATGATGGTTTGGAGAAAAAATATAAGCCAGTAGTGTAGACAAGGGTGGGCACTCATGGATAAGTGAGAACGAAGAATAAGAGTATGACTAGACAGAAGACAGCAAGGATGAAAAGTTTTTAGGATGCAGTTTAAGTAGTAGGGGTGACTGCATAAAGCACTATTGCAAAGAGTAGGGTAAGGATGAATAGACCTAACAAAATGAAAGGATGTATTAGGCTCATAAGGGTCACTACTGTTCTTTAGAAATGTGGGTGACTTTAAGGGAAGTAGGGATAAGTACTTGCGACTTCTAGGAGGAAGAGGAGAGATCAAGCTGGCTGTCTGATGGACACAGCTTTATTCTGGAATGGTAAACCCAGTGGGGAGGGTCCTGCAGGTGGAGGCAGTTGGGGTATTATAGATGACTAAGTAGGGTCTGGTCCAATGAGGTTGTAGAGTTTGAGGGATCGGATTCTTAACAAGAACTGATTCCCACTAGCGTGTCTTTATATGGCTGGGAATCTGGAGTAGGCAAGAGAAGATTAGCAACCTAGCGAATTTCCTATCTAGCCTGCTGGAGGACTGGAAGATAGTCGCCTAGAGGGCTGGTGTCTGGGAAGAGGTTGGGGCTGAGCAAGAAAGTGAATTATGTCTAACAGAAGGGAAGAAATGACTGCAGCGGCCCTCTCAGGCCTTGTGGGAAAAGCCTCTACATATCCAGTGAAAGTGTCTTTCCAGACCAAGAGGTATTTTAGTTTCCTGACTCAGGGCTTTTGAGTAAAGTCAATTTGCCAGCCCGGGGCAGGGGCAAATTTGTTTCAGGACCAAATGTCATGTGCATCTGTGTGAAGAGACCACCAACAGGATTTGTGTGAGCAATAAAGCTTTTTAATCACCTGGGTGCAGGTGGGCTGAGTCCAAAAAGAGTCAGCAAAGGGAGTTAGGGGTGGGACAGTTTTATAGGATTTGGGTAGGTAGTGGAAAATTACAGTCAAAGAGGGTTGTTGTCTTGCAAGCAGGGGCAGGGGTCACAAGGTGCTCAGTGGGGAGCTTCTGAGCCAGGAGAAGGAATTTCACAAGGTAATGTCATCAATTAAGGCAGGAACTGGCCATTTTCACTTCTTTTGTGATTCTTCAGTTGCTTCAGGCCATCTGGATATATGTGCAGGCTTGGGCTCAGAGACCTGATAGAGGGAGGTGAAAGGAACTTCTTACATGGGAGCAGCAAGAGAAAATGAGGAAGACACAAAAGCAGAAAGCCCTGATAAAACCATCAGATCTCGTGAGACTTATTCACTACCACAAGAACAGTATGGGGGAACCACCCCCATGATTCAAATTATCTCCCACCAGGTCCCTTCCACAACACATGGGAATTATGGGAGTACAATTCAACATGAGATTTGGGTGGGAACACAGAGCCAAACCATATCAACTCTTTTGTGACCCAAAATACTCCAGGTGTTCTAAGAGCTCAAGATGGCTAGCAATGACGCTGCCTCTTGCATTGGAAGGGAAGAGGAGGTGTACTGAAAGGAATAAGTTAATGAGAAGATGGAGGCAAAGAGAAGGCAACGTGTTTGTGGGTTAGCATATGAATAAATGCATGAAAGAATGTGTATCGGTTACCTAGTGTTGCCATAGCAAAGTACCACAAACTGGGTGATTCAAAAAGACAGGAATTTATTGTCTCACAGTTTTGTATGGTGAAAGTTTAAAACTGAGTTGTTGGCAGGCCCATGTTCCCTCTGAAACCTGTAGGGAAGAATTCTTTTTCTAGCTTTTGGTGGTTTGCTGTTAATCTTTGGCATGCCTTACGATGCAGATGCATAGCATGGTTAGCACGGCATTCATCTTGTGTCTCTATCTCATTACATGGGTATCTTCTTATAAAGACACCACTCAGATTTAGTTAGAGATCCAACCTACTCTAGTATGACTTTATCTTAATTAATTGCATCTGCAATGACTCCATTTCCAATAAAGTCACATTCTGAAGTACTGGGGTTTAGGACTTCAACATATCTTTTGGGAGAAGACATTATTCAACTCATAACAAATTGCATCTGAGATAATCCTCAAGTAATTTTTCTCAATCTGTTATCCATTGTTGCTCCACTAAGACACCCCTTTGGATATCTTCTTCATAATTGCTCCTCCAAGAAATGTTAATACCACAGATCTATAACTGTTTAAATCATTTAGCCCTTTGGAAAATCAAACACCATTGTTGTATCTAAGAATCTAAGGGTTTGTTTTTGTTTTTGCCTATCAGGAAGTATCCATTTTTATGTTCTTGATAATTGAGAATACATGCTGAGAATTAGGGAAAAATTCATGTTGTATGATCAAAGGAAACCTTTTAATAATATATATTGTTATTATTTTGTTTGCCTGGACCAGGACATTTGCTCTGTTATAAATAAAATGCTAATATTGTTTTGTTTTGTGTTAAAGAGACATTATATATAGTAAACATTTTGAATTATTCTTTTTTAATAGTTTTCTTATTTTCAGGTTATTAAAATGGTTCTAGGTTTTTTTTTTTTTTTTTTTTGAAACAGAGTCTTGCTCTGTCACCCAGGCTGTAGTGCAGTGGTGTGATCTCATCTCACTGCAACCTCTATCTCACGGGTTCAAGCAATTCTCCTGCCTCAGCCTCCTGAGTTGCTGGGACGAAAGGTGCATGCTGCCATGCCTGACTAATTTTTTTTTTTTTTTGTATTTTTAGTAGAGACAGGGTTTCACCGTGTTGCCCAGGCTGATCTTGAACTCCTGAGCTCAGGCAATCCTCCGGCCTCAACCTCCCAAAGTGCTAGGATTACAGGCATGAGCCACTGTGCCCAGCCTATTTCAGGTAATTATAATCCAGATTATTTCATTGATTTCTTGGAGCCATAAAACATGTTGAATTACCATGGATATCTAAAAATGAGTTTAAAAAATTTTATTTTTTCATCAGAAATACTCTTGGCTGTGGTTTAATTCTTTTTCATGTTATATATAAGTTAAATGTATGAAAGCAAGATAAAATGATCTAAGATTCCTTATAATCCCCATGTGGGCTTCAGGCTTCTTTAATTGGAAGTCAATTTATGACAAAGTTGAGTGCATAGGAAAAATTCTTGGTAGAGAGAGCATATTACTGTAGATGAATTACATATTCTCTAGACAATATATTTTGCTAAAAGAAGAGATCAAGAAGACAAAAGGACAAAACCAAGAGAAAGAGGTCTCACAACTAAAAGGGAGGAAGAAATCAAGCTGTCTTTATTCACAAGTGACATAATTGTATAGAAAACCCGAAAGAGCCAGCAAAAAACCTCCTGGTACTAACAAGCAAATATAGCCAGGTTGCAGGATACAAGATTGATACAAGTCTATCACTTTCTTATACATTAGCAATGAGTAAGTGTAATTTGAAATTAACAACACAATACCATTTACATTAGCACCCTAAAAAATAAAATATCTCAATACCTTGAGATATTGAGGGTGTAGGTAGAGACCACTGCAATAAAGCAAATATTGCAATAAAGCAAGTCACAAAAATGTTTTAGTTTCCCAATGCATATAAAAGTTATGTTTACATTATATATATTCTATTAAGTATGCAGTAACATTATGTCTAAAAAGCAATATATATCCCTTAATTTAAAAATACAGTATTGCTTCCAAATGCTAACAGTCATCTGAGACTTCAGCAAGTCATAATCTTTTTGCTTGTGGAGAATCTTGCCTTGATGTTGATAGTTGTGGACTGATCTGAGTAATGTTTAGAAAAGATTGAGATGGCTATGACAATTTCTTAAAATGATACAACCATGAAGTTTGCTACCTTGATTGACTCTTTAACTCACCAAAGATTTCTCTGTAATGTGAGACACTATTTAATAGTATTTTACCCCCAGTAGAATTTCCTTCAGAATTGGAGTCAATCCTCTCAAACCTTGCTGTTCCTTTATTAATTATGTTTATGTAATATTCTGAATGCTGTCTTGTAATTTCAACAATGTTCAAAGAATCCTTAGTAGGAATAGACCTCACCTCAAGAAACCACTTTCCTTGTCATCTATAAAAAGCAACTCCTCACCCATTCAAGTTTGATCATGAGACTATAGCAATTCAGTCACATCTCCAGTCTCCACTCCTAATTTTAGTTCTCTTGCTATTTCTACCACATCTTCAGTTACTTCCTCCATTGAAGTCTTGAACTTCTCAAAGTCATCCATGGTGGTTGAGATCAATTTCTTCCCAAATCCTGTTTATATTAATATGTTGACCTCTTTCATGAATTATAAATGTTCTTAATGGCATTGAGAACAGTAAATCCTTTCCAGAAGGTTTTCAATTTACTTTGTACACATCCATCACAGAAATCACTATCTATGCAAACTATAGCTTTATGAAATGTATTCGTTAAATAATAAGACTTGAAAGTCAAAATTACTTCTTGATCCATGAACTGCAGAATGGATGCTGTGTTAACAAGCATGAAAACAACATTAATCTCCTGCACGTCTCCATCAGAGCTCTTGGGTGACCAGGTGTGTTTTCAATGAGTAATAATATTTTGAGAGGAATCCTTTTTTCTGAGTAGTAGGTCTCAATAGTGGGCTTAAAATATTCAATAAACCATGCTGTAAACAGACATGCTCTCTCATCCAGGCTTGGTTGTTCCATTTTTATAGGGCACAAGCAAAGTAGGCTGGGAATAATTGTTAAGAGCCCTAGGATTTTTAAAATGGTAAATGAGCATTGACTTCAACTTAAAGTTACCAATGGCATTAGCTCCTAACAAGAGAGGTAGCCTATTTTTTGAAGCTTTGAAGCCAGGCACTTACTTCTCTCTATCTATGAAAGTCTCAGATGGCATTTTCTTCCAATATGAGGCTGTTTTGTCTACATTGGAAATATGTTGTTCTGTGTAGCCACCTTCATCAATTATTTTAGCTAGATCTTCTGGATAACTTGCTGTAGCTTCTACATCAGCATTTGAAGCTTCACCCTCCACCATCACGTTATGGAGAGGACTTCTTTCCTTAAACCTCATAAACAAACTTCTGCTTGCTTCACACTTTTCCTCTGTAGCTTCCTTACCTCTCTCAGTCTTTATAGAATTAAGGAGCGTTCACAATGCAAAGGAAAATTGTGGATAATTGAATTTTTTCCAGAAGAACCCTAGCTTTTGGCCTACCTTAGCTCTTGACACGCTTTCCTCGCCAAACTTAATCATTTCTAGTTTCTGATTTAAAGTGAGAAACAGCTTAATACATGGGTGATGAAATAATCTGTACAAAAACCACCATGAAACAAGTTTGCCTATGTAACGAACCTACACATGTACCCCTAAACTTAAAAGTTAAAAAAAAAGTGAGAAATATGTGACTCTCCCTTTCACCTGAATACTTAGAGGCCATTGTAGGGTTATTTATTGACCTAATTTTAATATTTTTGTGTCTCAGGGCATAGAGAGGCCAAAACAAGGGAGAGAGAGGGGAATGGTTTGATGATGGGTCAGTCAGAACACACACAACATTCATTGATTAAGTTAAACATCTCATATGGACACAGTTTGTGACACACCAAAACAATCACAATAGTAACGTCAAAGATCACTGATCACAGATAACCAAAACAGACATAATAATAATGAAAAAGTTTGAAATATTGTGAAAATTACCAAAACATGACAGAGAGACATGAAGTGAGCACATGCTGTTGCAAAAATGGCACCAATAGACTTGCTTGATGGAAGATTGTCATGAACACTTAATTGTAAAAAACACAGTATCTGTGAAGTGCAATAAAGTGAAACACAATAAAATGAGTTATGCCTTAAGCATATCTTAGGTATGCACTTAGGAATAAATCTAACAAAATTATGTACAAGATCTATATGATGAAACATAAAACACACTGCTGAAAGAAATCAATGAATTAAATAAATGGATATTTCATATTCACTGAGAAAAATATAATATTGTCAAGATGTGAGTTCTTCCCACCTTGATCTACATTCAGTGCAATCCCAGTCAAAATTCCAGCAAATCATTCTGTGAATATTTGTAAACTATGTCTAAAGTTTATTTGGAGAGACAACAACAGACTTACCAACACAATGTTGAAAGATAACAAAGTTGAAGGACTAATAGTACCCAACTTTAAGACTTATTATAAAGCTATAATAATCTTACCATATGACCCAGCAAGTGAGTTTCTTGGTATTTACCCAAAAAGTTGAAAACTTATATTCACACAAAAAGCTTCACACAGATGTTTATAGCAGCTTTATCCATAATTGCCAAAACTAGGAAGCAAATAACATATCCTTCAGTAGGGTGAATGGATAAGTAAATGGTGGTACATTTTCATAACAGAATATCATTGAACACTAAAAGAAATGAAACATCAAGCCATGAAAACACATGAAGAAACCTGAAATGCATATTACTGAGTGGAAGAAGCCAGTCTGAAAATGCTAAATATTGTATGATTACAACTATATGACATTCTGGAAAAAGCAAAACTATGGAGGCAATAAAAGAATCAGTGGTTGTCGGGGAATGTGGGGAAGGAGGGATGAATTAGAGGAGCACTTTTTAGGCCAGTGAAAACTGTTCTTTATGATACTATATGAATGGATACATGTCATCCTACATCTGTGAAATCCATAAAATGTATACTAGGAGTGAACCTTAATGTAAACTATAGATAAAGGGTGATGATGTGTTAATGTAAGTTGATCAGTTGTAACAAATGAACCATTCTGATGTGGAATGTTGATAGTAGGACAGATTATGTATGTGTGGGGGCAGGGAGTATATGGGAACTCTGTACCTTTCACTAAATTTCTCTGTGAACTGCTCTAAAATATAACACCTATTAAAATAACAACAGCAAGAAGGAGAGAGAATTTCAAGAAGAAAAGATGGATCATTGCTTCTAAGAATTAACCTGGTAAGGGAAGAATAATAAGGATTGAGAAATAAAAGAAATGAATCTTTATTTGCATTGAGTCTTTATTTGTATTCAAAGATCATGGAGTAGGTAATACCAAATAACAACAGATGTTACTTGTACAGATTTATGAAATTTTAAATGATGGCTTTCACATTTTGATTTGATTTGAATGTTTAATTATACATGATAGCTTGTGAAAGATACCTGCAAATTAAATATGAATATCTTAGAATAGTGCACCAAACCCATAACACATAACAGAACAATTGCCCAATTATGTTCCTGAGACGGAGTTGTAATTTCTAGAACAGATCAACCTAGGGGCTTTGTCTGAGTCCTGGTGGGGATTGAAGCTCTATTTTCCACTGAACTTACCCTTAGGAATACAGATAGTCCCCAACTTACGATGGTTCAACCTGCAATTTTTTGACTTTACAATGGTGCAAAGGTGATATGCATTCAGTGGGAACCATACTTCTATTATGGTTTTGTGTTAGATTTTTCCCAATTGTAGGGTAATGTAAGTGTTCTGAGCATGTTTAAGGTAGGCTAAGCTAAGCTATGACATCTGGTAGGTTAGGTGTATTAAATACATCTTTGACTTATGACATCTTCAACTTACAATAGAGCTTAACTCATTGTAAGTCAAGGAGTATCTGTATTTAAACTATGGTTGCTAGCTTCTCTCTCCTGGGGCAATCACTGTCCTATGAGGGCCTCAACACTGTAGTGGGTTTGACCTCTAGGAATTCCACCAGGTTGTCATGGTAAAGAGCCAAGAAAGATCACTTTGTGGTTCTGGGAATTTGAGGTGAAAACTAATCATTGTGAAATATGCTCTGAGTGTTCTCCATAACAAAAGCCTACTTTTCAGATGAAAATAGTCTGCCAAAACCACTGCCAAAATCACCTGGGGGAAAAGCATTTTCCTGACTCTAACCCAGCCTACCCCCTACTCCTAGCCTACCCGCTTATCCCCAGCCTTCATGTATCACTTAAGGGATGTAAAAAGCTAAGAAACAGTTGTGAAGGACACAGGCCAGGGATACAGGCCCACTAAAAGAACTGAAATGTAATCATAAGATTATAGAAAGCTTCCCCCCTTCAGTGTTTTACAGCCATACCAACAGGACTCTGTTTAATAACAGTGAGTTAAAGCTGAAATAACTGCAAGATGCAGACTCTATCAAAGAATTTCTTAGAAAAGTCCAAAGAAAATAGGGTAGACAAAAAAAGGACACTATAAAAGTTTTAAGCCTCTGGAACGCACAGCCATAGCAAATATTAAACAAAGCCCAACTCCTAGCTGGACTAATATAAATCCTCACACTAAGACATACTCACCTTACTTTCCATTACCTGACACACTATTTTTTTTTTTTTAAAGAAACATTACAAGTCATGCTAAAAGGCAGGGAAAAGTACAATCTGAACAGACAAAGCAAACATCAAAAATCTGACTTGAGTATGGCATAGATTTTTGAATATCCTTAACCGAAATGCTTGGGGACAGAAATGTTTTTAGATTTTGGAATATTTGCACTATGTTTACCAGTTGAGCATCCCAAATCTGAAAATTCAAACTCTAAAATGCTCCAATGAGCGTTTCCTTTGAACATCATATCAGCACTCAAAAAGATTTGAATTTTGGGGTATTTTGAATGTTCAGATTTGGGATCTCAACCTGTATCAGACAGAGACTTTAAAACAACTATTAATAATAACCAAAGGACTATAATGCAAAAAGTTGTCAACATTCAGGAACACATGGATTAAGTAAGCAGAGGAATAAAATCCTAAGAAATCATCAAAAGGAAATCCTAGAAAGCAGAAATACTAACAGAAATTCGGAATGCCTTTGATGAACTCACGAACAGATCAAGCACAGATGAGAATAGAATCAGTGAACTTGAAGATAGAAAAAAAATCAGAAAAGAACATCCAAATACTGGAAACAATTTTAAAAGGTATAATGTATAGGTAATTGGAGTACTAGAAGGAAAAAAAAAGAAACTTAAGTAAAGAAATATTTGAAGTAAAAAAAGCTGAAAATTTTACAAAATTAATGGCAGACACAGTTCAGAGAACACTAAGCAGGATAAATAATAAGAAATATATAACTTTATATATTATGTTCAAGCTGTAAAAAACTGAAGACAAGAAGAAAATCTTGAAAGAAGCCAGAGGGGGCCAGGTGCTGTGGCTCACACCTATAATCCCAGCACTTTGGGAGGTCGAGGCTGGCAGACCACTTGATGCCAGGAGTTCGAGACCAGCCTGGCCAACATGGTGAAACCCCATCTCTACTGAAAATAGAAAAATTAGCTGGGCGTGGTGGTGCATGCCATAATCTCAGCTACTCGGGAGGCTGAGGCACGAGAATCACTTGAACCCGGGGGCTGGAGGTTGTAATGAGCTAGTATCTGTAATGAGCCCACTGTACTCCAGCCTGGGTGACAGAGCAATACTCTATCAAAAAAAAAAAAAAAAGAAAAAAACAGAAAAAGAAATATATCTTGCTTAGAGAGGAGCAAGGATAAGGATTACAATGCACTTTTTATCAGAAACCATGCAAACAAGAGTAGACTGGAGTGAAATATTTAAAGTTTTGAAAAAATAAAACCACCAACTTTGAATTCTGTATCCACCAAAATCATTCTTCAAAAGTGAGGGAAATATAAGGACATTCTCAGACAAATAAAAAGGAAAATTATATAGGTCCGGAAACTTGGAACTACATCAATAAAGGAAAAACACTGGAGAAGAAATGAATGAAGGTAAGATAAAATCTTTTATCTTTCTTATCCTTAATTTATCTAAAAGATAATTGTTTAAAGTAATTATAGTAATAATTTACTGAATGATTATAGCATGCAAATAAGTGAAATTAATGATAGCAATGTTGTTGGAAATGGGAAGAGGAATTGGGAATAATCTCTTACAAGTTACTTCCCCTACACCTGAAATGGTAGAGTACTACTTTATGTTAAACTTAGATTCATTAAAAATATATATTGCAAACTCTAGGGCAACCACTGACTTTTTTTTTTTTTTCAAGAAAAGAGAGGAGATAAAATGGAGCTAAATAAAATTCTCAATTAGAGAAAGCATAAAATGAAATGAGGGGGAAAAAATAACAATAATGCAAATAATAGAAGACAGTTACAACATGGTAGATACTAATCTAACTTTATCAATACTCACTTTAAATGTAAATGATCTGAAATACTACATGTTCTCACTTATACATGGGAGTTAAACCTTGGGTACTCATGGACATAAAGATGGCAACAGTAGACCAGGGACTACTAGATGGGAAAGGGCGTATGAGAGTCGAAAGGCTCTTGGGTACTACGCTTAGTACGTGGGTGATGGGATCATTTGTACCCCAGACCTCAGCATCACACAATATACTCAGATAACAAACCTGCACATGCACCCCCTGAATTTAAAATTAAAGTTACCAAAAAAAAGCAAAAATTAAAATAAATAAATAAATATAAATTATCAGAATACACCACTTAAAAGACAAAGATTGTCAGGGTGGATTTTTTTAAAACCACTACCATATGTTATCTACAGGAAAGCCACTTTAAATATAATGGCACAGATTGGTTAAAACTAAAGAGATGGAGAAAGATATGTCATTACACTAATCAAAAGAATGCTGAAGTTGCTATATTAATTTCAAACTAAGCAGACTTCGGAACAAGAAAACATGTCAGAGATAAAGAAAGGCCTTAAATAACAGTAAAGGGGTTGATTCTCCAAGAAGACATAACAATCTTTTTTGTTTTTTGAGACAGAGTCTATCTAGATCTGTCGCCCTGGCTGGAGTGCAGTGGCACGATCTCGGTCCACTGCAAGCTCCACCTCCCGGGTTCACACCATTCTCCTGCCTCAGCCTCCTGAGTAGCTGGGACTACAGGCGCCCGCCACCACGCCTGGCTAATTTTTTTTGTGTGTTTTTAGTAGAGACGGGGTTTCACCGGGTTAATAGTCTCGATCTCCTGACCTTGTGATCTGCCCACCTTGGCCTCCCAAAGTGCTGGGATTACAGGAGTGAGCCACCGCGCCCTGCCAACAATCTTTAATGTGTATACAATTAACAACAGAGTATAAAAATACACGTGGCAAAAATTGATAGAACTGCAAGGAGAAATAGACAATCTACTCATAATAGAAGACTTCACCGCACCACTTTCAGTAATTGATAAATCAAACAGGCCAGGAAGTAAGGATATAGTTGACTTGAACAGCAGCATCAATCAACTGGATCTAATTGACATTGGTAGAATACTTCATCCAACAGCAGCAGAATAAACATTCTTTTCAAGCTTACATGGAAAATTCACCAAGATAGACCATATTCTGTGTTACAAAACACATCTTAATAAATTTAAAATAATAGAAATCATATAAGGATGCTCTGAGATCACAATGGAATTAAGCTAGAAATCAATAAAAGAAAGACAGATGGAAAATACCAATGTATTTGGAAATTAAACGACACACTTCTAAATAACACATAGGTCAAAGAAGTCTTAAGGGCAATAAAAAATACCTTGAACTGAATAAAAATGAAAATAAAATATTAAAAAGGATGGGATACAACACAAGCAGTGCTTAGAGTGACTTTTTTTTTTTTTTTTTTTGAAACAGGGTCTCACTCTGTCACCCAGGCTAGAGTACAGTGGCATGATCACAGCTCACCATAGCCTTGACCTCCCAGGCTCAAGTGATCTTCCCACCATAGCTTCCTGAGTAGCTGAGATTACAGGTGCCCACCATCATGCCTGACTATTTTTTGTAATTTTTGTAGAGACGGGGTTTTGCCATGTTGCCCAGGCTGGTCTCGAACTCCTGGGCTCAAGTGATCCACCCACCTCAGCCTCCCAAAATGCTAGGATTACAGGTGTGAGCCACAGCACCCGGCTTAGAGTGACATTTGTAGCATAAAATGCAAATAATTAGAAAAAAGAAGGATCCAAAAGAAATAATCAAAGCTTCTGACTTAGGAAAATACAGAAAGAACAATTTAAGCCTAAAGCAAATAGAATGAAATAATAGAAATTAGGGCACAAATATTCGAAATGACCAATGACATTGCTATACCTTTAAGTAATCTAATCAAGACAAAAAAGACAAAAATTAACAATATCACAAATGAAAGACGGGTCACAACTACTACTGTTCTTATTGACATCAAAAGAATAATGAAAAAATACTACAAACAACTCTATGCCCACAAATTTGATAACTTAGATTCAATGTACCAATTTTTTGAAAGGCAAAAACTAAAGAAGAAAGAGAGAAGTTCATTCAAGAAGAAAGAGATAATTTTAATAGTCAAAAGAACGTAGAAGGCAACTGAAAGAATTTCCAATGACTAAAGGTGGAACAATTTTAACAATAAAATCACTAGTGTTGAATTATGACCAAACTATAATATATTCAAACTATAATATACCGAACTATAATAATGTTATGTAATATACTCATGAATGTTTATCCATGAGTCTATACTGATATAAGACATTATTAAATAAATAAATAAATGGACTAAAAGAGGTAAATTCATCATGCAGATAAATTCTAAATAATTTGTGTATATTCTCCACCCTAAATGAAGTGAAGCATAACTTTCCATAACTTAAGTATGAGTTGCTCATAGTGACATCTTTCCAAATAATACAGTATGGAAAGAGGGAATGAAGACAGTAACTTTACAGTGAAGAACCCTTATAAATATTCCTTCAGCTAGGTGATCAAGATTAACATCAACAATTATGTCATCATGTTGATAGTATGTACCCTTTATATGGTGTGATGAAAAGGGTAACATACTTCCGTGATTGTTCCCAAAAGACTCATCCTCAGTTTAATCATGAGAAAAAACAACAACCAAATCACAACAGAGTCATTCCACAGAATACCTGATCAGTACTCCTTTAAATGGTCAAGGTCATCAAAACCAAGAAAAGTCAAGAACTGTCACAGCCAAAAGGAGCTAAAAAGACAAGACAACTAAATGTAACATGGTATCTTGGTTCATCTGCGCTGGCGTAACAAAATACTTATTTCACGCAGTTCTGGAGGCTAGTAAGTCCAAGATTAAAGCCACCAGCAGGTTACATGCTGGGCGAAGACTGCTCTCTGCTTCCAAGATGGCATCTTGTTGCTGCACTCTCTGGAGGAGAGGAATGCCATGTTCTTAGAAGAGCAAAAGAGCAAAAAGAGCCTAAACTACTGGCCTGCAGCTCTTAAGGCACTAATCCATTCATAAGGGTAAATAATAATGTATCAACATTTGTTCATTAGTCATAACAAATATACCATACTAATGTAAGATGGTAATAATAGGGGAATCTGTGTGTGTATGTGGTTGGGGGGAAATGGGAATTCTCTGTAGCATCTTTGCAATTTTTTTTTCTTTTCTTTTTTTTTTTTTTTTCGGAGACAGAGTCTCACCCTGTCGCCCAGGCTGGAGTGGAATGGTGCAATCTCAGCTCACTGCAACCTCCGCCTCCTGGTTCAAGCAATTCTCCTGCCTCAGCCTCCCGAGTAGCTGGGCTTATAGGCACTCGCCACCACGCCCAGCTAATTTTTTGTATCTTTAGTAGAGACAGGTTTTCGCCATGTTGGCCAGGCTGGTCTCAAACTCCTGACCTCATGATCTGCCTGCCTCTGCCTCCCAAAGGGCTGGGATTACAGGCATGAACCATCGTGCCCGGCCTGCAATATTTATCTAAATCTAAAACTGTTCTAAAAAAGAAAGTTTATTTTTAAAATAATGACTCTTCAATGCTTGGCAATCTTACTCGATGAAAATTATTTTCCTTTGAACATGGTCACAAGTCAAATGTTATTTACTCAAGTTGTTCTATAAAAGAATAGGGACTGTATTAGCTTCCTAGGGCTGCCATAACAAAGTAACACAAACTGAGTGGCTTAAACACCAGAAATTTATTGTCTCACAGTTCTGGAGGATAGAAGTATGAGATCAAAGTGTTGGCAGGGTTGGTTCTTTCTGAGGGCTGTGAGAAAGAGTCTGTTCCATGCCTCTTGCCTCGCTTCTTGTGGTTCGCTGGCAATCTTTGGCATTCCTTGGCTTGTAGATTCATCACCCTGATCACTGTCTTCATCTTCATATGGCATTCTCCCATGTGCCTGTCAGTCTGTGTCCAAATTTCCTTTTTATAAAGATACCGGTCACATTGGATTAGGCTGTACCCTTATGACCTTCTTTTAACTTGATCACTTGCAAAGACCCAATTCCCAAATAAAGGTCACAGTCACAGGTAATGGGATAATACTTTCAACATCTTTGGTGGGGAGACATTACTTAATCCCTAACAGACACAGTCTTTGAATCCAAAATGTCCATTTGTTTATCTAGAAAGTCACCTCACTCACTGAATGCCTCATAGGAGAGTGAGTGCTTGGATAGTGCTAATATTTTCTAACAACACTGTAACTTATATTTACTGTGAGTGACCTGGAATTAACTAACTGGGCCTTTAATAAAGCCAATCAGATTTCAGGCTTTACTACATTTGCACTGACACCATCATAACTAAACCTATAGATATAACTTTCAACTACTTCTTAAATTGCCAAGAATTTTTAAGCTCAAATGAGGTTACACTGGACTTGCATATGCATATTTTTCTCTTCTTGTCCCTGTTCTACCTCTTCATCTTCCCCACTTTCAACTATATTTAAAAGACAAAGTGTTCAAATATGTTCATAAAGCACAGAAATGGACAATCATGAATAATTTTTTCAAAACATAGTTCAAAGAAATTCGGACTTCCCAGCCAAGCCCTTTGGAGTTACTATGTAGCGGCATCTAGGCACATTCTATAGAGTAGATTATGGACTCCTCAACCAACCAGATTTATAAACTCACTTATGTGGACATTTACCATATTCCCCTTCTGGCCGTAAGTACTATAAATAAGTAAAACATGCATGTTAGACAGTATGTTAAATGTTACAAGTGTTTGGGAGAAAAATAGGGCATAGAAATAAATATAAAAGGATGTCAGACTGTGAAATTTTAGATAGGGCATCCAGGAATGGTCTCGCAGAGAAGATAACTTTGGATTAAAGGACAAAACAGAATAAGGAATTCAGATACATAGCTATCTGCAGGGAGACAACTGATGATGTTCCAGGCAGAGGGAACAACTCAAGTGAAAGCACCAAGAAGGGAACATGCCTGGAATGTCTGAGGCCAAGGTAGCTGGAAAAGAGAGAGTAAGAGGAAAAATGTTAATAGATGAAATCAGAGAGATATCAGAGAATCAGGTTATTTAGGTAACTGTTTAACATAATGAGTATTTTGGCTTTTACTCTAAGTAAAATTCATTAAGCTATTTTCAAAAGGGACAATAACACAATAATAATTAGGTTTTCTGCATAGAGAATAGATTATGGGAGACTTCTCTCCAGGCAGAGGCAGAGAGACCAGCTAGAAGCTGGCGAGAGAAAATGGTGGTTTAGACCACAGTGTCAGCAGTGGGAATAGGAAGACGTTATTAATTTGGGATATAATTTCATGCACAACAAAAAGAATTTGCTGATGCAATGGGTGTAGAGTGTGAGAAAGAGAGAGTTTAAAATGACACCAAGATTTATGGAATAATTGAATTGTTATTTAACTGAGATGGAAATGACTGCAAAAGAGCTAAAAGTTTATTAGAGAGAGGTAGATATGAGGAGGCAGTTTGGGACATGTTAAATTTGAGATGACTCTTGGATTTTCAAGTGGCTATTTAGGCTCTGGGAGAGTTGAGTCCAGGACACAGAGAAGAAGTCCAGGCTGGAGAAATAAAGTTTTGATCCATTAGTATACAGATGATATTTCAAACCATGAGACTAGATGAGATGACCTAGAAAATGTGTAGACAAAAAAGAGAAGTGGTCCAAGGATTGAGCCCTGGATATTTTATTATTTCTCTAATGTTCTTTCTTTGTATTTTCTGCAGACTCATCTCCACCTTAACCAACCGTTAATGGTTGGCATTGCTCTACTGTATGTCAAAACTTAAAATGCTACAGTAATTGAAACAACATGGTATTGGTTTATGAAGATACAAATAATCAAATTAATAGGATCAATAGCCCATCTGCAGACTGATATATATATATATCCACAGACTGATATATATATATGTATTTATATATATATATAGAGAGAGAGAGATGTGATTTACAACAATAGTGGTGCTATAATATTGGGGATATGGTGGTGTGGTGGTGTTTTTAACAATGTATTGGGAATACTTACAATGCAAAGAAACAAATGACAGAAGCTCGAACCCTGCTTTACATAATACCCAAACATCAATTCCATATGTATTAAAAATTTAAATGTGCAAAGGAAAATAACAAAGCATCTAAGAGATAATATAGTAGAATATAGTCATAATATCTCTACAGGCAAAAAATTTATTAAATGGGAAACAAAATTATTAACTTTAAGAGAAAGATTGATAAATCAGGTTATATATAAAAACTGGACATTTCTGTTCATTGAAATATACCATTAAAAAAGTGAAAAGGGGCCAGGTGTGGTGGCTCACACCTGTAATCCCAACACTTTGGGAGGCCGAGGTGGGCAGATCACCTGAGGTCAGGAGTTCGAGACCAGCCTGGTCAACATGGCGAAACCCCCTCTCTACTAAAAATACAAAACTTACCCAGGCATGGTGGTGCGTGCTTGTAGTCCCAGCTACACGGAAGGCTGAGGCAGGAGAATTACTTGAACCTGAGAGGCAGAAGTTTTAGTGAGCTGAGATTGTGCCACTGCACTCCAGCCTGGAAGACAGAGCGAGACTCTGTCTCAGAAAACTAAGTAAATAACTAAATAAATAAATAAATAAAATAAGTGAAAAGGCAAAAATACTAAGAGGGAAAACATACTTTCAACACATATTGCTGGCAAAGAACTTTTTTCCTGATTATATAAAGAACTCCATATGTGAATAACAAGGAGGCAGACAACCCAATAGAAAAAAGGACAAGACAACTGAAAAGGCACTAAACACACACACACATACACACACACACACACACACACACACACAGAATGATAGACAAATATCAAGTAAACACACAGAATATAGGAAAAGATATTCAGCCTCATTAGTAATGAGGAAACTGCAAATTAAAACCACCTATAGAAAAGCCTAAATTTTAAAATATCACTAATCAGTATTAGGGAGATCGGGTTGTATACTGCTACACCACTTTGTAAAAAATGTGTCTACTAAAGCTGAAAATACACGTAGGTTATGACCTTGTAATTCTACTCTTTAATATACACCTAAGATAATACAAAACATTTATATTAAGAGATATGCATAAAAATGTTCATAGCAGCATTTCTTACCATAGTCAAAACTAAAAACTACTCAATGTCTTTAATAGTAGAATTTTTAAACAACTTGGGGAATATCCATGAGTGCATGGAATAATGTTGAGTGAAAGAAGCCATATACATATATATATATATGTGTATATATATATATATATACACACACATATATATATATACATATATATATATACACACACACATATATATACATATATATGTATGTATAGTATGACTCATTTTAAATTTAGTTCAAAAACAGGACAAAAGGAAATGTTTAATAATGCCAGCTTAGGTGGTATAAACAAAAGCAATTACCTACCATTCATAGTAATGGTAACTTTGAGAGGCAATGATTGAGAGGGGACACAAAGGACACTGACAATATTTTATTTGGTAGTCTTGAGGGTTACACAGGTGTTTGCTTTCTGACAAACAATTGCACTTTCAGAAAAGTAAAAAAGGATTGAATTCAAGTACTGAAAGATAAGATAAAGCAAATCAACTACTGATTTTTGGATTTGCTTTTGTGCTTAAGGAAACTTTAGGAAATGGTGGAGCACTATAACAGAAACAAAAGAGGGACAAAGCAGTATAATTATTTTAGACCAAGGAAAAGGATTAGGGAGAACAAAAAGTTTTCATCTCACTTGACAATCTGATTGACTGGTATTCTGATTGAGTTTGGGACCATTCATGAGCAAAGGGTAAAAGAATTCTGTGATGAATTATTAATATCTATTAGTAGATATTTGTCATACTTGTCCTAGGTTGCAGAGTTCTTAGTAAACAGATTAGCTCCAAATCCCAAAGAAAAGTGAGTTTGGGCAGGGAATGGTTCAATTAAGCCTGGGCTTAAAAAGAAGCCCCACATGCTGGGATATAAATTTAGCCTGCATTTTACCTTCTGAATTAAAACAGGTCGTGTGTATTGTGAGTGTCAGGGGTGTGCTGGTGGTGAAATGGAGTGGAATGTGAGGTAGAGAATGATTTCTCAGAAATAGGAAATCATTAAGTATTTACCCAGCAAAGAAGACAGGTAATGTAAAATTGATGTGAAGCACAAAGATTTTTCTTAACACAGTCTTTTTACATTTGTATTTTATAAGTGCTATTGATTTAAGATTCATTGGGAAAAAATGTGAAAATATTGAAAATGACACCAACTTGGAACCAAAAGCCTTGGTTTCTAATTTCAGTTATGTCACTAGTTAAATGTGTGAATTTGTGCAAATCACTTTTCTTCTCTGGACCTCTGCTTCTTTACCTGTCAAGTTAGCAATTAGAACAAGCTGGCCTCTGCATTTCCTTCTAGCTCTAATAGACTATAATTCTATGATGGAGACAGTTTGATTAGGTGGAAAAATCATGTGCATCAGTGTCAGGCCTTTGTGACTAAGCCTCTCTGAGCCTCATTTTCTCATCTGTAAATTAGGAGTGATCATATCTACATCGTTTGATTGTGAAAGTCAAAAAGAGATGAAATTGTCAAGAGCTCAGCCTAGCACCTGGAACTTAGTGAGCTTCCCAAAATAGTAAATTGTAATTAGGGCTAAAATACAATTTGCATGAAGCAAACCTATTTCAGATTCCAAGAATTTTCCTTTTTTTCTGATCTCAAAACAATCAGTGTCTTGGTCAACTATTTTGTAATCCATTATCTCTTCCATTCTGGGCATTGCTTTTATTTTTTAAATATTGCTTAAATATAACATTACTAGAAAAGATAATAGTGGCCATTTAGCTATCACCCAACTATGTGCCAGGCACTGGGCTGGGTAATTGCATATAATCCTCATAGCACCAATGTGAGGTAGACATTTCCCTTGCTTCAAAGTTAGGGCCAGTCATATTTTATTAGATATTCCCATAGCACCAAGCACAGCACCTTGAACAAAGTAGACTCTCATTACGTGTATTTTTGATTGACTGAAATGTGGCAGTGAGTCCCCTCCCTCTCTCTCTAATGTTTGTAGTTATTTGATTTATAAGAAATCTCTGTCCCTGGCTGTGGTCAGCTATTGAATTTATGTGTGACAAGAAAACCATAGAGTTTGGCAACTGTGCGGTGATAGGTGATGTGTGAATCATTTGGGGGAAGAATGAACATTTTATATTCAGACCTCGAATACCTGGGTCCTATGGTTAGTTAATCATGTCTATGGAATGCATGACTGAGCAGACAGGTTCAAAGGTAGGGGACTCGAAGCCACTCCATTGTGTGTTTCTAGATACCATCTTATTGCCCATTGGTAATATTTTCTATAGTCACTGCTCAAATGTATGAGACAAATACAGTCTAGGGTTTTTTCTTCTTAAAAGAAATTCTATAATGTAGGAAGCAGGGTCCAAACTGGAAGGCCCAGGACATTGTGACCCGTCAAGAGGTTAGAATATTCCCCCAATAAGTCACATCAGTCTGATGTGATACAACCAGAAAACTGCATGGGTTGGCACACAATGAGAGACTCCTGGGGACACGTCCCTAAAAGTAGCTCCAAGGCAGGAATTAAAAATGGTTCTGGAAGCTTTTGAGCAACTGAGCTAGCAGGACCAGAGCTGGCAGACATCACAACAGGCCATCGTTCCAGATGCTGCTCCCAAAGAGCACCCCCAGTGTCCGGCCCAGGCAGTTCCTCCTCAAGTAATTAATCTTGGCCTCCTTAAGTTACCCCCAGGTTCCCAGTGGATGTTTTTCTTCACTTCCCTATGAAATCACTTGAGTCTAGGTGCTGGTGGGGGTTGGGGAGTAGTATGGTAGGCATTGAACAATTCCAGCTTCACCAGTGGGAGAAATGGCCCTGTAAATCCTTTCAAAGGGCGCCCACCAAGTCCTTCAGAAGGAAGGGGCAGCCAGTGACATGAATACGATTATTGTAGTAGAGCAAAATGTGTGACTCGCCAGAATTCTGTTAAACCCAGCAAAAGGGAATGCCACAGTTAACCTATACCCCTGGGGAGCACTAAACCTGAAGCAGACTTATTAATTAGGTCTTCTGAGGGGCACAGAAAAAGGGGAGGAGGCCTTTTAAGTCACAGAGACAGACAGAGCTCCATTCTAACCAATTCCTTTCCATGGGGGCAAGTCCTGTATCTTTTTTTTCTTTTTTTTCAAACCAAACAGTTTGAGTTACATGTTCACAAGGTCCCTGTTGTGCCAAAGAGCATTTTCAATTCAAGTAGAACAGAAAAAACGTTTGTAAAATGAATCAGTAGGTGGAGCTCTTTCTTTTTATTTATTTTTCAATCCAAGGTCCCATTATTATTGAGGGACACAGAGCTTCAAAATGAAAAGAAATAGGCATTTTAAAAATGAAAACACATATACAACGTGCTTTCCTAATTGAAATGGTATATTGCGAAATCATTACTGTCACAGAACATTTGCGTTGCATGCAAATGCTGAAGCAAAGAAAATATATAAACCTAAATTGACTTTAGCAATTTGAAAGTGATAGTGGACATCTGTGTTCAATAAGTTTTTGCTGGTAACTGGTGTTTAATATTTCATGTCAAATCAAGAAGAGTGATAGAAGGTTTCTGAACACAGAGATGGCTGGCATTTTTGCAGCACAGCCTGCCCTTTGTCATACTCACCATAAAGAAACCTGCTGTAGCGAGGGTTGAAACTGCACCAGAGTGACTCCTTTTTTGGAACTTATATAAACTTCCAGAATATACTGTCTCTATTTTCTTTTAGAAAGATGTCTATAAGAAAAACAGGTTAAAGGACTTCCAAAGCTCATTATTTATTTAAGGGAAAAAAGGGTGTGTGTGTTTTGGGGATAGGGAGCTTTTGGAAGAAATTACAGCAGAATAAATCATCTAGAACAAATCTTACCTTTGTGTTTTCGTCAATCCTGATTCCTTTCTAGTCAGTGTGCAGTGATGTTAAGGAACTTGGTTGCCAATAGAAACATGCCTTCCTAAGTCTCACAATGAGGGCTAGATTGGATTTTAATGTTTATGTAGTTGGGCAGGGTAATGGTGGAGAATGGAGAGTAGGGAGGAAGAACTTTTTAAATAACTTTATAATTTCTTTTTCCACATCATGTTAAATAGGCAATCTTGACTCTAAATAGAACGTTTTGTCTTCGTAACAAATGTGATGAAAGGAAAAACTGCGGGGAGGGGGACAGCATTATTCTTTGAGCTGGCCACAGGATTAGCACTTAGTCCTGAAAAGGGTCATGTTGACCTGATTGTCATGTTAAGTCATGCTGACCTTAACATCTTCCATTTAGTTCTCTAACACAGAGGCTGGACCCTTGAATCTGCTTTGAGTATTGTATAATAAAGGTAAAATAAGAAGACCGACAGACTTTGAGGTACTACAGATATCAAGAAACAGTTTATGTTTATGTTGATATGAAGAAGTGTATATCTGAGCAAAGGAGTGCCCCCTTCCCTTCTCCGATGGTAGGACCAAGAATATGGTCCTGGAATGACCAGAAGCGGACCAAGAATATGGTTCTAGAATGACCAGAAGAGGATAAACAGGTACATGTTCTTTTTTATCCTAAAGTGATTTTTTTTTCTAGTGAGAGAAAAGCAAGTTGCTGAAAATATCCAAAAAACTGGAATGATTTGCCTGTGTGCCTAAAGTCATCTAACTTAGGTTCAAAAATAGAAAGAAATAGCAAGTTGTGTATTTTATTTTTTAGAGATGGGTCCTCGCTGTCTCCCAGCTGGACATGAATGCCTGGGCTCAGGTGATTCTTCTGCCTCAGCCTCCTTAGTAGCTGGCACATGCTACTGCACCAGGCTGATTTTAGCAACTGTTATAGTTTGAATATGTGTTACTGCCCAAATATCATATTGAATTGTAATCCCCAGTGTTGGAGATGGGTCCTGGTGGGAAGTGATTAGATCATAAGGGTAGTTTTCTCATGCATGGTTTAGTACTATCTCCTTGGTGCTGTTCTCATTATAGTGAGTGAGTTCTCATCAGATCTGGTTGTTTAAAAGAATGTGGCACCTCCCTGCTCGCTCTCTCTCTTGCTCCTGCTCTCACCATGTGATGTGCTAGCTCCTGCTTCATCTTCCACCATGATTGTAAGCTTCCTGAGGCCTCCCCAGTAGCTCAGCAGATGCCAACATCATGCTTCCTGTACAGCCTGCAGAGACTTGAGCCAATTAGACCTCCCAGTTTCAGGCATTTCTTTATAACAAAGAAAGAATGGACTAGTACAGCAACATAGGAGGAAACAGAGTAGATGAAAATAGTAACAACGTGCTTAGTGATGTGATAGAGTCTAATAGTATACTAAGCTAATTTTGCACCCCAAAATATGTATCTACAGGCAAACGTTAGGCACATAATAAATCACACTGAGAAGCTCAGCAGATGCCGGCATCGTGCTTCCTGTACAGCCTGCAGAGAAGTGAGCCAATTAGACCTCCTTTTATAAATTACCCAGTTTCAAGCATTTCTTTATAACAAAGAAAGAATGGACTAGTATAGCAACACAGGAGGAAACAGAGTAGGTAAAAAGAGTAAGAATATGCTTAGTGATGTGGTAGAGTCTAATAGCATACCAAGCTAATTTTGCACCCCAAAATATATATCTACAGGCAAACATTAGGACATAGTAAATCACACTGACAAGTTTTAAAGAAATCCTTTCTTTGTTTCAAAATAGCATTAGCCAATAATATGACGTCTTGCACTATGATTTATGCTTTGCAAAATTATAATAATTTTGTCACTTGATCATCATAATATCCCTATGAGTATCAAGGAAGTGCATATATCTTCCTTGTTGAGACACAGGAAAGAAGTAGTTTAGAAATGAATTGTGCCTAAGATAACATGGAATCTTTGTGGGTATATTTGTCCAAAAAGCCAAGCAGCATGGCCATGGCTAGAGCCAGGGGCTTCATGGCCACAGTTGAATAACCTGTCTCTTTTCTCTTAGAGCAGGAAGCTACTGTTGTCCACCAGACTTGGGCATTCAATGTGCAGCATGCAGGGGACCAAGCTAATCCCCCTGGCAGATGTTAAATCAATAGAAAAATGCAGATAACATACATGGGAAAGTGTAGCCTTCTCTTTCTACAGCTGCCAGGGTGATCTGCCTTGGGGCTTAGTCTGTTTCCCATATATTCCTTAAGTAAAATCCCAGCTATTGTGGCTAGTTAAAAGGGTGAAAGAAAAAAGATGTCATCACTCAAATGTTTCCCATGTAGGGTATGTTTATTAGTCATCAGTCTTATATATCACCATTCACTGGAAAGGTCCACATTTACAGTTACCATCAGCCTCTTCATTTTCTCCAGTCTGCAACTAAGCCTGCGCCATTTAATGCCCCCATAAGCATCCATTTGTGAGCCATTGTGGCTCCTTGCCAAGTCGTTGTGGCACTGAAGTTAGGGGTATAAACAGAGCATTATAGTACAACTACAGAAAATGATTTTTCCAGTGACATATCAAAATCCCCCATCTGCCTCTTTATCTTCAAAGAGAATCTAATGCCTTACTGTACCATCATTCGGAAAACTGATTCTCATTTTATTAGGAGCCCACTTTAGCTACCTAACTGCAAATTAGCATCATCTGCTACATGTAAAAAGGATCTGCTTCTCAGCTGTTACTGTAACTTATTTTATTAATAATCATTTGTGTTCTTTTCAACTTTAGACATTAACTGTCTTTTAAATCAAAATGAAATGTGTACTTGGCAACTTCTGACTCAAGCATTTGGTTCCCTGTAAATCCTGGAAATGACACAGTGTGCACTTTTCCTCTGGCGTACCTCTTCAGAAACCAGAGTTATGCAAAGAGGGACACTTAAGAACTAGGCAGCCCTGTCTCGCAAAGCCTCCCCAAGTTCTGGGAAGCAGTGGCATGTTGAAAATGACAGGAACGGAGCTCTTAATCACATGGAATTAAGAGAGTGTGTGTGTGTGTGTGTGTGTGTGCGCGCGCGCTCATGTGTGTATGTGTATGGTGAAGCAGGCCAAACAAAGACCCGAGTTTCTCTTCCTAACAATCTTAAAAAATAATTTCCTAGAATCCAACATTCTTCACATTTGTATATACTTTCAGGATAATGCATGGTTTTTTATTCTGATTTTAATAGAATCATGTTTCTCACCCTCGTTGTCTTACTCAAACTTTGTAATTTATGCAATTATGCATTTCTCTTCTCTAAAATGCTCTCTGAGCCAATTAAAAAATTATCTTAAATTTCACTTTTTCTGACTCCCACTCCTTACTCCCACTACAGATACAGAGAAAGTGGGCACACTATTAATTAGCCATTGCAAGCATCAGAGTTCCTTCCCATTAGATTCTCTTAATGATCCATCTGGATAGATAGGAAAGGTGTCATACCCTAATTCACAGAAAAGGAAACTTGGGCATAAAATTAAGATTTGCCCATTGCTGGAGCTGTCCATGAGCATTAGGAGTCCGGAATCCTAACTCTTAATAAAATCTATAATGATAAACAAAGCTACTATATACCAAACAGTGTACCAGGAAATGTCATCAGTGATTGCATTCCTTATCTCTTTGAATCCTCAAAAAAAAGCCTACAGTAGATATTAGAACTCTCATTTGAAATATGAAAAAGTAGGTTTCAAAAGATCATAAAGCTAGATAGCAGGAAAACCAGGAAACAAACCTGTCAACCCAGTTCCCAAACTTTTGGCATAACCACTTTGCTTTCTAGTCTCCTATACCTTCAGTCTGCAATGCTAATGTATTAATTATACTAGTCATTAGTAATAACACTGCTGACTTTTTCTTGAGGTGTAGGTATTTTTTATTTTTCTGGGATTCTTATAAATATTACTTTAGAGATATAAGGGCTGATTGTCACTCACAAAGAGCAGGGTCTGGCTATATCACGTAGTGAGAGCAGAAAGACAAGGTCATATAAGAACCAGGTTGTAAAATGAGATCAATCAGTACACGATATCTGGTTTAGTGGGATTGTTTGTTGTGCATTCTGTTCCCCACTAAAAAGAATACAGTGAAGTACAGATTCTAATAAGGAGGGAATAGACTGATGACTCTCTGATGTGTGTTAAATGCTACTTGTCATGATGACATTATCTACCATCTGCCCTTCACATTGTGAAAGACTAAGGGACTAAGGGTGAGATGGAAGACAGATCCCAAGCTGGGTAAAGACTCTTTTAACTTTTCATCACCATGAATCCTGTCAAAACACCCATCTCATTGTCATTACCTTAAACAAACCTGTTTACTTTTCATTTAATCTGTCAGTGGAGTTTGCCTTTTCTTTTCTGGATCTGATATCACATCTACAAACTACTGTTCACAGGTGTGATTCCCCAAGCATCCTTCTTCTACATAGGGAGAAATAGGATATTATCTTGTTTCTTCACAGCCGATATAAAGAGCACAGCTTCAAAGAAGGCCAAACACCCTTCAAAAACTGCTTTACCATTACCTTTATTACTTATTTTGACACAATTTAATTTTTAAAAATTGTGTTAATTCAGATGTGAAGCCTTAGGTCCGAAGCCAATGCACCTCTAAAGGGTAAAGATGACTTTCTCATTACCAGGACAATAGGTCTGAGAAAGTGGTAACAAAATTCTAATGATTTTTAAATATAATTGTTTGACAGAATTTCTAAAAGAAAAATTTTGAAAACAGAAAGATCTAATGACATAACTGCAGGAATGAGTAGCTGTCTTATGGTTTTAGAAACATACCATGATATATATTAGCATTTAATGTTGTATTATGTATGCATATCTTTCTCAGTAAGCTGAAAGCTGTTTAAACAAATCAATTTTATTGAAGTATAATTTATACATGATAAAATGTTCCTATGTAACCATCACTGCAAATATATACAGTTGTCCCTCCATATCTGGGGAACATCTGAAGAACAGGATGTTCTTCAGATACCAAAATCCTCAGATGCTCAATTCCCTTAGACAAAATGGTGTAGCATTTCTGTATAAACTACACACATCTTCCCATACACTTTAAATCATCTCTAAATTACTTTTTATGCCCAATGCAATATAAATGCTATGTAAATGGTTGTTAGGCTGTATTTTTATTTGTATTCTTTTACTGTTGTATTGCTATTTAGTTTTTCAGTATGCGGTTGGTTGAATCTGTGGATGCAAAACCTACAGGAGGGTTGACCGTATGTGTATACCCTTGTAACTATCACCACAGTGAAGATTTAAAACATTTCTATTACCCCAGAATATTTCCTGTGCTCTTCCCAGTAATCTCCACCCTATTCCCAACCACTAATGTGATTTCTATCACTATGCATTAGAATTTCATATAAAATGAATATAGAGTATGAAGTCTTTGTTTCTGGTATGATTTGCTCAGCATAATGTTTTTCAGAGCTACCCATATTGTTGCATATCAGGAATTTATTCGTTATCATTGCATACTATTTATTTGTATGGATTCCCATAATCACCTATTGGATACTTCATTTCCAACTATAGAATGAAGTTGCTGTGAAAGAACTTTGTGTGGACATGTCTGTATTTTTCCTTTTTTGTCAAGTTTTAAAATTATTTTTATATTTTTCTTTGTTTTTAATTTTTGTGGCTACATAGTAGGTATATATATTTATGGGCTACATGAGATGTTTTGATACAGGCAAGCGATATGAAATAAGCACATCATGGATGGAGAATGAGGTATATCCATCCACTTAAGCACTTATCCTTTGAGTTACAGACAATCCAATTACACTCTTTAAGTTATTTTAAAATGTACAATTCAGTTATTATTGACTATAATCACCCTGATGCACTACCAAATTGTATATCTTATTTATTCCTTCTATCTCTTTTGTACCCGTTAACCATCGCCCCGCCCTCCCCAGCCCCCAGCTACCCTTCCTAGTATTTTTTCTTTTAGGTAAATTACTAGAGGTGGAAGTGCTGAGTCATGTGGTAAGGGTATGTTTAACTTTATATGAAACTATACAAATGTTTTACAAAGGGATGTACAATTTTACATTCCCATAGTTATCCACATCCACATCCTTGCCACTACCTGTGATATGTAGCCTTCTCATATTGGCTTCCTTTACTGAGTAATATGCTCTTAAATTTCTTCCATGTATTTTTATAGCTTGATAATTCATTTCTTTTGGGCACTGAATATTTATTGTCTGGATGTACCACAATTTATTTATTGACTTACCTACTGAAAGTGATCTTGGTTGTTTCCAAGTGTTGGCAATCATCAGTAAAGCTGCTAAAAACATGTGTGTGAAGGTTTTTGTGTAGATAATATGTTTTCAACTTGTTTGGGTAAATAACAAGGACTGTAATTACTGGATTTTAAAGTTAGAGTATTTTTAGTTTTGTAATTTGAGCTGTTTCAGTGGTGCGTAATGGTATCTCACGCAGTTTAAATTTGCATTTACATGAGAACTAATGCATTTGAACATTTCTTCATGACTTATCACCATTTACATACCTTTGGTAAAACTTTCAAGCCTTTTACTCATTCTAATTGGATTTATATTCTTTTACTATTATATTGTAAAATACATATTATTCTCAGATATACGTACAGTGAAGATTTTCTGCCAGCCCCTGTCTTGCCTATTCATTTTCTTCATGGAGATTTTTGAATATTAAAACATTTTAAATTTTGATGAAGTCAGATTTATCAACTTTTTATGTTTGTGCTTTTTGTATTCTAGAAATCTTTGCCTTTTCCAAGGTCACAAAGATTTTCTCTTATGCTTTTTTTTAAGAAATTTTTATAGCATTGGCTTTTATATTTAAATCTATTGTCCATTTTGAGATAATTTTTACACGTGGCTGAGTTAAAGACTGAGGTTAATTTTTATTTTCCATTTGGATATCCAGTTTTCTGACATCATTTGTTGAAAAGTCCAACCTTTCTCCATTGAATTACTTTGGCACCTTTGTCAAAAATCAATTGACTATGTATGCATCAGTCTATTTTTAGAATCTCCATTTTGTTCTATTGAACTTATTGCCTATTCTTATGCCAAGACCACAGTCTTATTTAAGATAACTTTATAATGAGTAAATCTTAAATTCACGTAGTGTAAGTTCTCCAACATTGCTGCTCATTTATAACATTCTGTTGGTATTTCCAGATAGAGCTTTTGAACTTTCATATGAATTTTAGAAAAATAGAAGAAAAACTTCTATTTTTGTAAAAAGCCCCTGGGATTTTGATGTAAATTGAATTCAATTTACACTTTAATTTCAACAATGTTGAGTCTTTCAACAATCTATGAATATAATATAATTGCTCCATTCATTTAGTTCTTTAAAAAATGTTTTATATATTTTAGAGTATAGCTTTTACCCACATTTTTAATAGACTTTATTTTTTAGAGCAGTTTAGATTCACAACAAAATTCAGCAGTTTTCCCACATAACCCCAACCTCTACAAACACACAGCCTCCTCTATTATCAACATTCACCACCTTAGTAGTTCATTTGATACAATTGATTAATCTACATTAAGACATCATTATAATTGGAAGTCCACAGTGTACATTAGGGTGTATACTTGGTGTTTTACATTCAGTGAGTTTGAACAAATGTATAGTGACATATATCCACCATTATAGTCTACAAAATAGATCCGCTGGCCTAAAAATACCCTTTGGTCCACCTATTTATGCCTCCTTCCAGTCTCATTTCTGGTAATCACTAATTTAGCTTTGCCTTTTTCAAAATGTCATATAGTTGTAATCACGTGGTATATAGTCTTTTCATATTGGCTTCCTTTACTGAGTAATATGCTTTTAAATTTCTTCCATGTATTTTTATGGCTTGATAGCTCATTTCTTTTGGGCACTGAATATTTGTTTTCTGGATTACCACAATTTATTTATTGGCTTACCTACTGAACATGATCTTCGTTGTTTCCAAGTGTTGACAATTATCTGTAAAGCTGCTAAAAACATCTGTGTGAAGTTTTTTGTGTAGATAATGTTTTCAACTTGCTTAAGTAAATAACAAGGACTATAATTACTGGATTTTAAGGTAGGAGTATTTTTAGTTTTGCAAGAAGTCATTAAACTATCTTCCAAAGTGGCTGTACCACTTTGCAATGAATTTCTGCCAGTGATGAGTGGGAATTCCTGCTGTTCCACATCCCTGTTAGCATTTGGTATTGTTTGTGTTCTGGATTCGAGCCATTCTAATAGTATGAGGTGGTATATCACTGTTGTTTAATTTGCATTTCCCTGTTAACATATTATGTGGAGCATCTTTTTAGATGCTCATTTTTCATGTATATGTCCTCTTGGGTTAGGTGTCTAAGTCTTTGTCCCATTTTTAAACTGGGTTATTGTTGAGTTTTAAAAGTTCTTTGTATATTTTGGATAATAGTCCTTTACCAAATTTGCCTTTTGCAAATATTTTCTCCCAGTCTGTGGCTTTTCTTTTCATTCTCTTAACTTTTATGAAGTAAAATTTTTTTTATTTTAATGACATTCGGCTTATCAATTCTTTCTTTTATAGACTGTGTCTTTGGTTTTATATCTGAGAAGCGATCACCTAACCCTAGCTTATCTAGAATTTTCTTCTGTTATCTGCTAGAAGTTTTATCGCTTTGTGTTTTACTTTTAGGTCTGTGATTCATTTCAAGTTACTTTTCATAAAAGGTGTAAGGTCTGTGTCTAGCTTAATTTACTGCATGTGGATGTCTGTTTATTTCAACATAATTTTTAAGACTATCTTTTCTCAATTGTATTGCCTTTAATTCTTCATCAAAGGTCATTTGACTATGTTTATAGTATGTGGGTCTGTTTCTGGGCTCTCCATTATGTTCCACTGATCTATTTTTCTATTATTTTAATAATATAACACTGTCTTGATTACTATGGTTTTATAGCAGGTAGCATCAATCCTTCAACTTTGTTCTCCTTTCATATTTTGTTGGCTATTCTGGGTCTTTTGCTTCTCCATCTAAACTTAATACTCAGCTCAATATCCACAGAATGACTTGCTGGGGTTTAGATTGGGTTTGCACTGAGCCTGTATGTCAAATTGAAAAAAACTGTCATATTGACAATATCATTTTTCTGTTTATACCATTGGAATATCTCCATTAATTTGGTTCTTTGATTTCTTTCATCAGAGTTTTCTAATTTTACTCATGTAGATCTTGTATACACTTTGTTAGATTTATACCTGAGTGTTTTATTTTTTAGAGTGTTAATGTAAATGGTATTGCATTTTTGGTTTCAGGTTACACTTGTTTATTGCTGAGACATAGAAAAGTGATAGACTTGGCAGGATGCAGTGGCTCACACCTGTAATCCTAGCACTTTGGGAGGCCAAGTTGGGCGGATCGCTTGCACTCAGGAATTTGAGACCAATCTGGGCAACATGGTGAAGCCCCATTTCTACAAAAAATACAAAAATTAGCCAAGTGTGGTGGCACATACCTGTATTCCCAGCTACTCAGGAGGCTGAGTGGGAGGATGGCTTGAGCCCAGGAGGTGGAGGTTGCAGTGAGCTGAGATTGCACCACTGCACTCTGGCCTGGGTGACAGAAGAGTCAGGCCTTGAAAAAAAAGAAAGGAAGAAAGAAAGAAGAAAGAAAGAAAGAAGGAGAGAAAGAGAGAGAGAAAAAGAGAGAGAAAGAAAGAAAGAAAGAAAGAAAGAAAGGTGATAGACTTTTGTAAATTAATCTTCTATCCTGCAACCTTAATATAATTGCTTATTATTTCTGTGAACTTTTTTATTGGTTAAGTCTCAAATTTTCTACATAGACAATCATGTCTTCAAAGACAGTTTGATTTCTTCCCTTCCAATCTGTATACCTTTCATTTCTTTTTCTTGCCTTATTGCATTCCATTGTTATGTTGAAAAGCTGTAGTGAAGGAAGACATTTTTTCCTTGTTCTTTATCTTAGTGGGAAAGTTTTGAGTTTTTCATCATTAAATATAACGTTAGCTGTATATTTTTGTAGACTTTTTAATCAAATTGAAGAAATATTTTACCCACATTTTATTAAATTTACTCTTAAATTGTATTAGTCAGGGTTCTCTAGAGGGACAGAATTAATAGGATAGGTGTATATATGAAGGGAAGTTTATTAGGAGAACTGACTCACATGATCACAAGCTGAAGTCCCACAATAGGCTGCCTGCAAACTGAGGAGCCAGGAAGCCAGTCCAAGTCCCAAAACCTCAAAAGTAGGAAAACCGATAGTGCAGCCTTCAGTCTGTAGCCAAAGGCCTGAGACCCCCTGACAAATCACTGGTCTAAGTCCAAGAGTCCAAAAGCTGAAGAACTTGGAGTCTGATGTTCAAGGGCAGGAAGCACCCAGTGTGGGAGAAAGATGGAGAACAGAAGACTTAGCCAGTCTAGTCTTTCCACATTCTTCTGCCTGCCTTTATTCTGGCCACACTGGCAGTTTATTAGATGGTCCCCACTCAGATTAAGGGTGGGTCTGCCTTTCCCAGTCCACTGACTCAAATGTTAATCTCCTTTGGCAACACCATCACAGACACACCCAGGAACAATACTTTGCATCCTTCAATCCAATCAACTTAACACTCAATATTAACCATCATATAAGTACTTTATGTTTTTGATGCTATTGTAAGCGCTATTTAATTTCAATTTTTATTTGTTTTTGCAAGTATGTAGAAATGAAATGAATTGTATAATTAATCTTAAATTCTGAGTATTGCTAAACTCTCTTACTAGTTCAAGTAACACTAGCAAGTAATTTTCTGGATTCTTTACGAATTTCTAAGTTTTCAAATATTCCAATAAAAAGGTTTATTTTCAGTCTTAGTGTCTTTTTTTTTTTTCTTGCCTTACTTAAGTAGCTGGGGCTTTTAGTACAATGTTGTATGGATAGTGACTTTTTCCCAATCTTACGTAGAACGATATTAGTCTTTCATCCATGCATATAATGATAGATGTAGATTTGTCTTACATGCCTTTTATTGGGCTGAGAAAGTTCCCATTTACTCTTATGTGTGGTGCTTTTAATTATGAATGGCTGTGGAATTTTGTCAAAAGCTTTTTCTATATCTATTATGATAATCATTAGGGTTTTCTCTTTTATTCTGTTGATATGATGAATTTCAATGATTGCTTTTCAAATGGTAAATCATGCTTGAATCACCGAGATAAACCCTAAGACGATGTATTATCTATTTCAAAAGTGTTAAACTTGATTGGTTAAAATTTTGTTAAATTTATTTTATTTTATGCTATTGTTTTGAGATGGAATTTTGCTCTTCCTCCAGGCTGGAGTGCAATGTGATGATCTCGGCTCACTGCAACCTCTGCCTCATGGGTTCAAGTGATTCTCCTGCCTCAGCCTCCGGAGTAGCTGGGATTACAGGTGTGTATCCCCACGCCCAGGTGATATTTGTATTTTTAGTAGAGATGGGGGTTTCACCATGTTGGCCAGGCTTGTTTCGAACTCATGACCTCAGGTAATCCGCCTGCCTCGGCCTCCCAAAGTGCTCGGATTACAGGTGTGAGCCACTGCGCCCGGCTTGTTAAACATTTTAATGTTAATGTTTATGAAAGTTTCTGGTGTGTCATTTTCTCAAAAAGTCTTTGGCTTTGGAATAAATTTACTAGTGAAACTATATGGTTTGGGAGTTTACTTTTTTAGAAGGTTTTTAATTACAAATTCAATTTTTTAATAGATACACGCCTATTCAAATTTTCTATTTCTTTTTTAGTTGATTTTGGCAATTAACAAAGCAGTTTATCTATTTCTTTGAGGAGGTTAAAATTATTGCCATAAAGGTACTTACAATATTCTCTTATTACTCTTTAGTAACTGTGATGATGTCACATTTTCCAGTTCTTATGTTAGTAGTCTGGGTCTCCTTTATTCTTTGATTATTCTAGCTAAAGATTTATCATTTCTTTAAAGTATTTATCAAGATTTCAAAAATCCTATTCTTGCTTTAATTACTACTTTTTTATTTTTTTTACTTTTGTCCTCATCTATATTATTTCCTGTCTTCTGCTTACATTGAATTTATTTTCTAATTTATATGTTTAAAATGAAAGCTCAGATAATTGATTTTGCAACTTGTTTCATTTCTACACAAAAGCTTTTTAAAGCTATATTTGTTCTTCCTAATGGCAGTGTTACCTGCATCCTACACATTTCGGTATATCTTAAATATACATATATATATTTGCTTAATTCGAAATATTTTTAAATTTCTGTTATGGCTTATTTCTGACCATACATATATAGAAGTGATATTTTGTTTTGCTTTATACAAATACTTAGCATTTTTCATATATTTTTCTGATATTTCTCATCTAATTTAATTGTAGTCAGAGAACATACTCTGTTTAATTTCAGCCCTCTTAAATATATTGAAACTTATTTTGTAGCCTAAAATATGGTATATCTTGGTGAATGTTTCATATACATGTAAAAGAAATGTATATTCTGCTTTTCTCAGGTGAATGTTTTATAAATTTTATTTATGTCAAGTGGTTTTTAATGCCATTTAGGTCCTTTCTATCCATTCTGGTTTTTGTCTACTTGTTGTATCAATTACTAAAAGAACAGTGTTTAAGTCTCCAACAATAATTGTAGATTTGCCTGTTTCTCTATTCCATTCTGTGAGACTTTATTTAATGTGTATTAAAACTCTAATACTGGATTCATATGTGTTTAGGATTGTTTTCTCTTCTCGATTGGTCGACAATTTTATCATTACAAAATATATCTATCACTAAAATATTACATAGTTTAAAGTCTATCTGATCTGAATTTAGTCACTCTAGCTTTCTTAGGATTACTATTTGCATGGTATATATTTTTTAATTATTTACATTTAACCTTTTTGTGCTATAGGTTTTTAGAGTTAGTTTTTATAGGCAGACTTTTGTGTCATCTGATAATGCTTATATTTTAATTGGAAATTTTAGGGCATTTATTTTTAATGTAAGAGTTTATATGGTTGCATTTAAGTCTACATTATTGCTATTTGTTTTCTTTTAAATTCATTTTTTATTTACTCAATTGTTTTCCTTTATTTCTTGCCTCCTTTTTGATTAACCGGGTATGTTTTAGGGATTCATTTTATCTCTGCTGTTGGCATATTATTTATAACTCTCTGTTTTATTTTCTAAGTGGCTGCTTTGGGATTGATTGACAGTATGCATATTTTTGCTAGATATAGAATTATAAATTGGTAGATTTTTGGGGGGCCAAGACCTTCAGTATGTTGTTCCTATTTAGTTTCTAGTAAGAAGTGTCTTGTTATTTTTGTCTTTATTTCACTTTAGGTAATATGTCTTTTTTTTCTGACTACTTGTAAGATTTTCTCTTTATCATTGCTTTTCAGTAATTTAATTGTAATGTGCTTCTGAGTGTTTGTGTATGTATGTGTTTCCCTTGATTGCACTTCATTAAGCTTTTTATATCTGTAAGTTTACAGTCTTTATCACATTGTGAAAACTTGGAAACATTATTTCTCAAATAGTTATTATATCATTTCGTGTCTCTCTTCACCTTCTGGGGCTCCAAATATGCATATAACAGATAGTTTAATGTTATTCCACAAAATTCTGAGATTCCTTTTATTTTTCTTTTTAACTGCTCTTTATTTTGTTACATTTCTATTGTTAATACCCTCAAAAGTTTGCTGATTTTCTTTTTTCTTTTCTTTTCTTTCTTTCTTTTCCTTTCTTTTTTTCCTTTTTTTTTTTTTTTTTTTTTTTTTTTTTTTGAGACAGGCTCTCACTCTGTGGCCCAGGCTGGAATGCAGTGGCATGAGCTCAACTCACTGCAACCTCCACGTCCCAGGCTTAGGCGATTCTCTCATCTCAGCCTCCTGAGTAGCTGGGACTACAGGTGTGAACCACCCTGCCCAGCTAGTTTTTGTAGTTTTTTAGTAGAGATGGGGTTTCATGCTGTTGCTCAGGCTGCTCTCAAGCTCCTGGGCTCAAGGGATCCTCCCGCCTTGGCATCCCAAAGTGTTGGGATTACAAGTGTGAGCCACCACACCAGGTCAATTTTTTTTTTTATAATGTCTTTTTTGCTTTTCATTCCATCTGTGAAATTTTTATGCAACTATTTTTGAAGTTTAAAAGTGTAATTTGGTTCTTTTGAATCTTTCATATCACTGCTTACTGTGTTCATATTTTCATTTAATTACTTGTCTTAGTTCATTTTGAGAAGGGATAATCTGCTGGGTGTGGTGGCTCATGTGTGTAATTGTAACATTTTGGGAGGCTGAGGCAGGAGGATTACTTGAGACCAGGAGTTCGAGGCCAGCCTGAGCAACATAATGAGACCCCATCTCATTAAAAGAGAGAGAGAGACTGGATAATTCATAAAGAAAATATATATATATATATATTTTTACAATTCTGGAACCTAGGAAGTTCAAGGTCAAGGGGCTGTGTCTAGTGAGAACCTTCTTGCTGGTGGGAATCTCTGCAAAGTCCCAAAGTAGTGCAGCAGGCATCATATGGTGAGGGAACTAAGTGTGCTAGTTCAGATATCTCTTTTTCCTTTTATAATACCACTAATACCCCACACTTATGACCTCATCTAATCCTAAATATCTCCCAAAAGTTCCACCTCACAAATACCATAGCCAAATTTCCCACCTTCTTAATGCTGTTACAATAGGGATTAAGCTTCAAAATGAGTATCAGAGGGGACAAACATTCACATCATAACATTTCACTCCTGGTTCCCTAAAACTAATGTCTCTTACACATACAAATACATTCATTCCATCACTATTACCCCAAAGTATTAACTTGTTCCAGCACTAACTTAAAAGTCCAAAGTCTCATCTGTGATCCTGTGAAAACAAGTTATCTACTTCTAAAATGCAACGGTGAGAGAGGCATAGGTACACATTTCCATTCCAAAAGAAAAAAAAAGGAAAGAAGAAAGGAGTAGCAGGTCTCAAGCATTTCCAAACTCCAACAGAGTGAACAACACCAAATCTCAAGGCTTCACAATAGTCTTCCTTGCATGTTCCACTTCCTGGATACACTAGTTCACTTCCCAATGTGCATTGTTGAATTGCTTAATATTATTCCACAAACCACTGAAGTTCTTTACTTGTTTTTTGGTTGTTTGTTTGTTTGTTGGTTTGTTTTTTAGTATTTTTACTTTTAAATGTATTTTGCGAAGTTTCTATTGTTACTCTTACGTTTACTGCTTTTCTTTTCCATGGTATCACCCCTGCTTTTCATTCTATCAGTGAAATTTTCATGTAGTTGTGCTTAAAACTGAGAAGTTTAATTGAGTTCTTTTTTAACTTTTGTTCCTCCTCATTGTATTCATGTTTTCTTTTGACTGCTTAAACATAGCTATAGTTGCTGTTTTGAAATTCTTTTCTCCCAATTGCATCATCTTTGACATTTCTGCATCTGTTTCTATTGACTGCACTGAATTCTGCTTTTGAAAATAGCATGGATCATTTTTCGAATCTCATTTTTTTGGCATCATTAAGAAAATGAAATACACACAGTTTGGTATTTCATTATATAACATGTTCACTTTTAATATTTATGCGTGATAAACTCCTAAGACATTGACATTATTATCCATAAAAATACTACCATCATTTACTGAGTGTTTACTACATTCCAAATACTTTATATACAGTACCATTAAAAGAGCCTTTTATTGCACACCAATTTCTTTCTTTTGAGAATTGGTCTCAGTCATTCGTATAATTTTTTTAAATTTATGCTTTTCAAGACTGTAAATTTTATAATGGCAGGGTATACATCTTGTTTATCACTGCATAGCCAGCATTTGATACATAATCAGTTATACATTAGTTCAGACAAATATTTACCAATGAATAAATGAATATATAAGTGAATATTGATATTATTACATATCAATTGATATTATCATTTGATACACATCATTGATATTATTACACCTAACTTACTTAGACCCATCTTTCTTACACCCATCTTATTATTTGCCCAGGGTCAAATAATAAGTGGGGAGTCAGAACCTGAACCCATATTTTTTCCCCCAAATCCATGCTATGATGTGCTATGGTCTCTAGTTCTTGAAAGTAAGCACTATCGTTTTATCATTTATTCTCCAAAGTAATTGTGTAATGTGTGTTATTGTTTTATATTAGAGACTTAGATAAATGTCTCTAAAGAATTAATATGTATTACAGAATAAGAAGAATATAGATAACGCACATTCTTTAAGACATTTCATTTTGAGGAGTAGGGATTAATATACTGTTTCATTTTACATTAAATATGGTAAAATGGGGGTCCAAAGTCTGAAGCAGTGGGGAAAAAAAACAATAAAATAGAAAATAAGGAAAAAAATAACAAAAATCTCAACCTCGATTAATCAGTTACAAAAGACAAGAAAGGAGAAAAATAATATAAGGTCTGAAAATAAAGGTTAAAAGTTTTAATAACCAGTATATCAATAACCATAATTTTAATGTCAGTTAAAAGTCAGATGTGGCTGGGTGCAGTGACTTATACCTGTAATCCCAGCACTTTAAGAGGCCAAGGCCAGCAAATCACTTGAGCTCAGGAATTCAAAACCAGCCTGGCCTCATGGCTAAACTCTATCTGTACAAAAAATACAGAAAGTAGCCAGGCATGGTGGTGCATGCCTGTAGTCCCAGCCAACCGAAAGACTGACATGGGAGGATCACTTTAGCCCAGGAGATTGACGCTGTAATGAGCTGTGATCATGCCACTGCACTCCAACCTGGGCTGCAAAGCAAGACTCTTCCCCCCTGAAAAAAAAAATTAAAAAAAAAAAAAGATTTTTCAAATTGAATTGAGAAAACCAAGCTATTGTAGATTATAAGAAACATTCCTAATGCATAAAGATAAAAAGACTATATTAAAAGATTTAAACTGATACACCAGGCAAATACTAGCTAAAAGACTGCTGGCAAGCATTGTAATACCAGTAAAAATAGACTATAGCACAGAAACTATATTAGGTTACATGCTACAACATGAATGAACTTTGAAAACATGCTAAGTGAAATAAGCAAGGCATGATAGGACAAATACTATATGATTCCACTTACATGAGGTACCTAGAATAGTCAAATTCATAAAAACAGAAAGTAGAATAGAGGTTGCCAGGGGCTGGGGATAGGAGGGCGTGAGAAGTTATTATTTAATGGGTACAGAGCTTCTGTTTGGGATAATGAAGTTCTGGAAATGAAGAGTAATTGGTATGAACTACATGTTTGTATTTCTCAAAATTCATAAATTGAAATTCTAAACTCCAATGGGATGGTTTTAGAGGGTGGGGCCTTTGGGATGTAATGTGGTTTAGATGAGGTCATGAGAGTTGAGCCACCATGATGGGATTAGGGTCTTTATAAGAGGAGAAAGAGGTTTTAGCTCTTGCTCTCTCTCTATACCATGTGAGGACACAATGAGAAGACAGACATCCTCAAACCAGGAAGGGGCTCTTACCAGACATCAAAGATACTCATGCCTACATTTTGGACTTCCAAGACTCCAGAACTCTGAAAAATAAAATTCTGTTGTTTAAACCATCTACTCTATGGTATCTTATTAAAGCAGCCTGAACCAAGACAGTGGTAATGGTAGCACAACATTGTGAATGTGTTAATGCCACTGAATTGTATACTTGAAAATGATTAAAATGGTTAAACAAAAACTACATGGATATCAAGTTTTTAAACTATATTAGCTATAGAGAGGGTCATCACATAATAAAAGTTCATCATAAAATCTTTGCCTGTGCCTATGTCCTGAATGATATTGCTTAGATTGTCTTCCAGGGATTTTTATAGTTTTGGACCCAACAATTCCATTACTAGGTATATGCCCAAAGGAATATAAATGATTCTATTATAAAGACACACACATGTGTATGTTCATTGCAGCACTATTCACAATAGCAAAGACGTGGAATCAACCTAAATGCCTATCAATGATAGATTGAACAAAGAAAAGTGGTACATATACACCACAAAATAATATGCAGTCATAAAAAAGAATGAGATCATGTCCTTTGCAGGGACATGGATAAAGATGGAGGCCATTATCCTTAGCAAACTAACACAGGAACAGAAAACCAAATACCGCATGTTCTCACTTATAAGTGGGAGATAAATGATGAGAACACATGGACATCTAGAGGGGAACAACACACACTGGGGCCTTTCAAAGAATGGTGGGTGGGAGGAGGCAGAGGACCAGGAAAAACAACTAATGGGTACTAGAGTTAATACCTGGGTGACAAAGTAATCTGTACAACAAACCTCCATGATGCAAGTTAACCTATGAAACAAGCCTGCACATGTACCCTTGAACTTAAAATAAAAGTTAAAGATAATAATAATAATAATAAAAGCTCAATTCACATAGAAGATATAGTTTGCATGAACCTAATGAAATGGCCTCAAAATATATAAAGAAAAAAAAGTAGAAGTACAATAAAATTTGTATATCCATCTCCATAGTGGGAATTTCATCATACCTTTTAATTATTAATAGGTTAAGCAGACAAAAAATAATATACACACAGAAAAGATTTTAAAAATTGATCTAATAGTATTCTACACTCCAAATTATAGAATATACATTCTTCTCATCCACATTTATAATATTTAAAAAATTGATTACATGTATACTTGGCCATAAGGTAAGCCTGAATCATCCTAACTTAGTGCCCTAAAAAAAGAAAAGAGAAATATAAGATTGGAAAGAGAGGAACACCAAGGAATCTAACAAGAGTAGTTGAGTATAATATGAGGATATATAGCAAGTTGGCAAAATGTTAGATTCACATGTAGTAATTAATTACATTTTTATAGAGTAGCAACAAAGAGAAAGTATAATTTTCACAATGTTATTTGTAATAGCAATAAAAATTGTAGTCTACTAGGGAAAATCTAACAAAAGATGTGCAAGACAAATTAGTATTTTAAAACTTTATCCAAATAATTTAACCAAAACCTCAAATAATGGAGTGATATTTTATATGTGGATATAGCCACTGTTATAAAAATATCAAATGTTCTCAGATTAATATATAGCTTTAATGCTATTCCAATCCAAATTTGAACAGAGTTTTATAATCAAATTTTAATATTTGCATAGAAGAGAAAAGAGACAATACTAGCTAAGATACTTATGAGGAAGAATGAGGGATGATTTGTCCTAATACAAATTAAGGATTATGATAAAACTGTAGTATTTAAGAAAGTACGACATTGGTACATGGATAGACAGACTGATAAATAGGACAGAATACAAGTTTAGGCATAGGAGAAACTGATACAGACAGAAGTGGAATGGCTGGAGAAATGAAAGAGTATTCAATAAATGCAGTGAGAAACAAGTCAATTCATATAAAAATTAAGTTAGCCCCTTTCTTTCATCATATTAAAATGAATTGCTAATGATGTAAATATTTCTATGTTAAATATAAAACAATTTTTGAAGAAATTATAGGAGGGATCCCCCTGAAACTAGGGTAAAGAAGACTTTCTTAAACAATGCATAAAGAGCATTAACTCCACAAGAAAAGATTAATTAATAAGATTGATTAATTTAACAATTTTTCAAAATAAAATTAAAAAACAAGTCAGAAGCTCTGTGAAGATATTTGCAAAACATATAATCAACAAAAGATTATTGTCTTAAATATTTGAAAAAAGCAACAACTTATATATCAGTACTACAATTACCATGTAGAAATCTGGGCAAAAGACATGAGCAGTTTTGAATAACAGAAAACATTTTGCCAACCAAAATTATAAAAAGAAGCTCAATTTCATTAATAATAAGGGAAATGCAAATTAAGATGCAATGAGATTTTATACCCACTCAGTTGGCAGAAACTAAGAATCTGACAACACAATAATTGAACAAGATATGGAAACTTTTAGTAATTGTTGCTATGGTATTTATTATTATCAGTTAAATCCTTTTAAGTATGTCATCTGTTTCTTACCAGGGCACTGACTAATATACATTCTTGCTTATGTTCCAGTTGTTAGACTCATGGTTGTTGGGTATATTCTTGCACTAAATAACATATTTGTTAGAACAAATATTATTTTAAAACACGTTTTATATTGTTTTATGTGTTAAAAAGTAAAATATAAATTTTAAAAATAACAAATATGGTTATTATCAATATAATGTCAATTAAGACATCAGTGAATTGTATTTGTGTTTATATTTCCAGCTTCAATGGCACTTAATTAAATACCATCTTTTATTGATATTAATCTTATTTATAAATAAACTTTTCCGAAGTATTTGAATTCCTGCTTTTGTATGAAATAGGTTTCTGAAACTTTCCTATTCCTGAAACTTAGTTGTAGTCTTCCTAAATGGTGACTATAATAAAATCCCAATTTTCTAATTTCAAAATTATTTATTGTGTTTTACAGGTCAAAAAAGTGCTTTTAAATATACTTAACTCTCACGGTAAGCCTGAGCAGTGGAAAAAGACAGTCAATTAGAGTGACTATTTAAATAAATAGATAGTCACCTACAGGTTAAGTCACCCACAGAGGTCCATACAACCAGCTAGTTGCATAGTTTGTACTTGACTTCTAATTCCTTGTCCATTCTTTCCTCTACACCATTTTACCTCTAAAGATAATAATAAGCTTGTAAATCTGTAAAATATTTCGCCACTTTCAAAATACCTTCCATATCACGTCATGTGTTTTGATTCCCACATTCACCCTTGAGTTTCTTTAGCATATTTCTTTCTTCTCACAACATACATAGAGCATAATTTAAACAAAACATAGTATTAACTATTAACATAAAAGATTTACTTGTTAAAAATTTTCTAGATAATTAAGCCAAAATAACAATAAAATAACCTTGGTTTTGTTTCACAAACCCCATAGTTGTAGTCACTGATTTGTCTAAGAAATAAATAAAAATAATTACTTTGAAAGCTCCTTCATGGTTTCTTTTGAAAGAACAAATGAATGAATGAAAGAATGAATCAACAGTGATAAGGTGCAAAACAGTTTTTGCTTTTCTGAACTTTGTGAAAATAGAAAAGAATTTTTTCCTCCCGGCTAGAAATCTATTACATTGCATCTATCAAAGACAAACAAAATCTTTCCAGAAATTTTTCTTTAAGGTGCTATGACATGTAATGTGTATTATACAAATAAATAAAGTATGAATATAAAACAGTATGATTTATTTTTATTCTTATTAGTAAACATCTTGATCAAAATTTTCTCTCTACCCCCCTAATATCTATGTGATCTTGCCAGTGAATGGTAGTCTGGTTATAGGCAAGCTACATCTCACATCCCATTAAACCCACCTGCTCACACTTGGCAGGATTTGGCCAGTGCTGCTGCTCATTAGGGGCTCTGGCAGAGAGAAAGGGTGGGTGGAAGAGGCAATGAAACCAGTGCCTGAAGAGTGAAACTGAGGTTTAGGTTTTATGTGGGATTTTATTTGGTGAGTGGTTACACTGCTTTTCATTATACCAGATAACAGGTTGCTGGCAGCATATTTAAAAGATATGAAACTTTTAAGGGGCTGAAAATGAAATTAAAGCTTGATGAAATAAATCCTAATCTGTACCCCACATTCATATGTGTGCCAGGAAATGAACACACTAGTGCTTTAATTGTAATCAGGCTGTTCCCTTAAAGGCAGCAACAATATCCACTTTGCTGCACATGGAGAATCTAGGAAACAATGCCATTAAGAGTTTATATGCCATCTTATGCTCCACTTTCTTCATAACATTACATCACTTCTACAGGCATTTTCTGCCCCATTTACTAAACTGGCTCCAGTCAATGAAGTTGTGTATTATATGCCCCCAGGGAAGAAAATAATGCAAGAGTTTTACTGTCCCTGTTAATGCCATTTAATACATTACTCAAACACATACTAAAGACCAACAGTTCTAATTACACAACTTTGGTTTTAAGTGGCTTCCAAACTGACTTCTTAACTGGCAATTTCTCAAAAGCTCTTGTCTTCCCAAACTTCTTTTTGGAGGATTGGAGAGTCAAGAGAATGCAGTTTGAGATGCTGCAAAGGCTCTGGGTTGTTTGTTATGCTATAACTTCATTGTCTAAAAATGAAGAGAAAGAGTGGTATCCAGCCTGTTGTGTTGCTTTGTTTTTATTAAGTTTTATGTTTTACATGTTGCTCAAACTGGAATTAATCCTCACCTACCTCTTGGGAGGCTAATGTCTTTGAAAAATGGTTTAACATTCTAAAAGTGGTATGAGTCCAAAAGTAGGAGTGAATAGTGAGGTAGAACAGCATTCCATTTCTTTTTTTGGAGGACTTGGATTTCACTCCACTCCTTTTGAGTAGGAGAAAACAGATCTGTCTTTTCTCTGTTTGGATAAGGAGGGGAGAGGGCTTAAAGAAGAGAAACATTTTTAGTACCAGCTGTTCCCTAACTCAAGCCCTGAATAAATTTATTCTTTCCTGAGCTGGAGATACTAGAACAAACCCAAGAAAATGGAAAATATAAAGTGAATAAATGAAGCCGTTTTGATTTTAAGTTACAAATGTTTTAGAGGAGAGCCAAAAAGCTAAGGGATAAATTAACCACAGTTCAATCCCAAACCAGTGATAAGAACGTAGATATCTAAAAAAAAATCTCTGGGCTATGCTCTAGTGGGAGAGCTTTCAAAGCATCCCTGTGTTATAAACCCCAGTGGCCAATTCTTTTTACAAGATTCTTTAACATTTTTAGCAAACATCATCAGATATGTGAATCAAGTACTGCCACCTCAAGACTAAGCAACTAGCTCTCTTAGTTTTGATAAATGTGGTTTAATACCTGGTACAGTCTTAAGACTTAATATAGTCTTAATATTAGGATCTTATTATCAAAACCTCATATTTCCATTTAATATTTAGCATTTTTTCCACCAATTTTAAGGTCATGTTTAAGATTTAACCCATAAACATATTGCTATCTAAATTACAAAGCAGGTTTGGGATGTGCGTGCTTAAGCTCAAGAAGAATTTAACTATTTCAGTATAAATGATAAAATAGAAATGCAAATGAATAAGCATGTCAAATGGAATTTTTAAATAATGTTTCAGTATGGATGCGTATTTTTTCCATGTTTTGTCTATTGACAATATGTCTGTTTAATGTGTACAGCCTCCAGGCAAGCTACAATTTGATTTTCTCTTGCCCCACTCATTTCTTCTATGACTAAATATGTACTAGACAAACATGTTTGGGCCAGGCACTGTGGCCCATTCTGTACTCACAGCAATTTGCGAGGCCATGGTGGGAAGATCACTTGAGCCCAGGAGTTCAATACCAGCCTGGCAACAAAGCAAGACTCCCATGTCTACAAAGCATAAGAAAATTAGCTGGGCATGGTGGTGTATGCTTGTAGTCTAGCTACTCAGGAGATGGAGGCAGGAGGATCACTTGAGCCCAGGGGTTTGAGGTTGCAGTGAACCATGATTACTCGACAATCATTTTTTTCTGTTAAATCCACCAAAACTTTTCATTTCTTTCAGTGGCATCAATTTTCTGGATTTGGTAAAACAAAAAATTTGTATCTTTTTCTCTACACTTTAGTATAGGTTTTATATTATTCCTTAACTTTTTCATCCTTCAAAACCTAAACTCTGCCACATGAAAAGTCATGGATTTTGGAGCTCATCAGACCTGAGTACAGTCCCCATTTCTATCACCTGCTAGTGTGTGGTCTTTTAAACTTCTCATGAGCATCAGTTTTCTCATATAGAAAATGAAACTGCTTTGTAGGTGTAGTATAAAAAGTAGAGCTACTGTGAAAAATGGTGTTCAACTGATGGAAGCTCTTAATCTAAGGATCTAAGGGAAAGTCAAATGAGGAAAGATTGAAACGCCATGCTTGCCCCTTTCAAATTAACCACAGTTCAATCCAAAACCGGGGATAAGAACATAGATATCTAAAAAAAAATCTCTGGGCTATGCTCTAGTGGGAGAGTTTTCAAAGCATCCCTGTGTTATAAACGCCAGTGGCCAATTCTTTTTAAAAGATTCTTCAACACTTTTTAGCAAACATCATCAGATATGCGAATCAAGTACTGCCATCTCAAGACTAAGCAACTAGCTCTCTTAGTTTTGATAAAAGTGGTTTGTAGATGTAGTATTAAAAAAACTGCTTTGTAGGTATAGTATAAAAAGTAGAGATACTGTAAAAAATGATGTTCAGCTGATGAAAGCTCTTAACCTAAGGATTTAAGGGAAAGTCAAATGAGGAAGGATTGAAATGCCATGCTTGCCCCTTTCAAATAGGGCACCATGTGTACTAGGCCTGAAGACTATAGAAGCAGCAGATGGTCCACAAGAGAGCAAGGAGATTTGTTTCAGAAAGGAGTCCTTGGCTACGACTTCACTTCCCAAGTGACTAACTCATCTGGGCAAAGGAAGAGAAGCCTGAAACTTTCAGATTGCTGTGAGGGGAAGTCAGTCTGACAGGCTGAGTTGCCTTTCTTGTCCTTGGCATTGTAACACTGCACAGTCTTCTGTTGTTTCTGGAACCACTCAAGCATATAATGAATGGAGTACCACTGATTGGAAACGTTCGGCCCTAGATGATATTTCCGCAAGTTGTTTTCCTTCTACAACTTGGTAATGGATTTTTCTAACTTTAACAGAATGGTTGAAGTGTCTCTTGGTTTTATATGCTGTTGCCTGCTCTGGGTCCAACTCTGTCCAGTTATCATGTCATTTTTTTTTCAGCACCGAAAGTCAACTACTCTCCAAAATCTTAAATGTTTTTCTTGGAGAGCTACATGATCCTAAGCAAACAAACAAACTGAAGAGCCATTCTGGCTTTTCTGAAGAAACTGAAACTTTTTTTTCTTTAATGAATGAGCTGACTTTTTGGAACTGTAGCTTAGGTTCACTGAATTCTGCAGAGGTCAGGGGAGAGTAAGGAATGTTTGACAGTTTTGGGGCAGGAGGGAGATGGTGCTCTGTGAGGCTGACTGGGTTTGGTACCAGCACCTGGTAGGCCAATTGAAGGATAAGGCAGAGGTCTGAGTTGTGAATAGTAATGAAACATTGTGAAGACAGACTAGCCAGTTTTACCTGTGTTAAAATCTCAGCTCTACTAGTAACTAGATGGGTGAACTTAGACAAAGTTATTAAAATCTATGAGCTTCCATTTTCACATTTGTGTAGTGCAGTGAGAATTAACATGTATTAAGTACTTATTCTATGCTGGCCACTATTCTAAGCATGTTGTCTGTGATGTCTCAATTAATTTTCACAACAATCCTATGGAGCATAAAGCAAATATTATTATTTAGATTGTACAAAGATGAGGAAACTAAGGGAAAGGATACCTGGTCAAAGGTAACCAAGTTAGCAATAACAAGGTTAGAATCTGAATCTAGGCAATTTGGCTCTAAAGCTTATATTTTTAACCAATATTGTGTGATTAAGTCACTTAATGTATTTCCTGGCATGTAATTAGCATTTAATAAATCAGAGTTTTATTTTTTTCTTCAACTTTTATTTTAAGTTCAGAGGTACATGTGCAGGATGTGCAGTTTTATTACATAGGTAAACGTGTGCCATGGTGGTTTGATGCACAGATCATCCCATCACCTAGTTATTAAGCCCAGAATCCATTAGCTGTTCTTCCTAATGTTCTCCCTCCCCCAACCCTCCACCCAACAGGCCCCGATGTATGTTGTTCCCTGCCATGTGTCCAGGTGTTCTCATAATTCAGCTCCCATTTATAAATGGGAACATGTGGTGTTTGGTTTTCTGTTCCTGTGTCAGTTTTCTCAGGATAATGTCTTCCAACTTCATCCATGTCCCAGTAAAGGACATGATATTGTTTATTTTTATGGCTGCATAATATTCCATGGTGTATATGTACCACATTTTCTTTATCCAGTCTACCACTCATGGGTGTTTAGGTTGATTCCATGTCTTTGCTATTGTGAATAGTGCTGCAATGAACATATGTGTGCATATATCTTTATAATAGAATGATTTATATTCCTTTGGGTATATACCCAGTAATCGGATTGCTGGGTCAAATGGGTATTTCTGACTCTAGGTCTTTGAGATATCACCACACTGTCTTCCACGATGATTGAACTATTAATTAATTTACACTCCCACCAATAGTGTAAAAATGTTCTTTTTTCTCCCCAACCTTGTTAGCATCTGTTGGCTTTTGACTTTTCAATAATCGCCATTCTGACTGGCGTGAGATGGTATCTCATCGTCGTTTTGATTTGCATTTCTCTAATGATCAGTGATGTTGAGTTTTTTTGATATGTTTTTTGGCCACATGTATGTCTTCTTTTAAGAAGTATCTGTTCATGTTCTTTGTCCACTTTTTAATGGGGTTGTTTGGTTTTTTCTTGTACGTTTGTTTAAGTTCCTTGTAGACTCTAGATATTAAACCTTTGTCAGATGGATAGATTGCAAAAATTTTCTCCCATTCTGTCGGTTGTCTGTTGACTCTGATGATAGTTTCTTTTGTTGTGCAGAAGCTCTTTAGTTTAATTAGATCCCAATTAAATGAGAGATTTCAATATATAGTTGATTCTTGAAAATTTGGGAGTTAGGGGCACTAACCCCTTGCACAGTTGAAAATCTGCATATAAATTTTGACTCTGCAAAAACTTAATTACCAATTGACTTACTGTTGAACTGTTGACCAGAAGCCTTACTGATGACATAAACATTTGATTATCACATATTTTATATGTTACATGTACTGTATACCATATTTTTAACAATAGAGTAAGCTAGAGAAAAGAAAATGTTATTAAGAAAAGCATAAGGAAGAGGAAACATACTTACTATTTATTAAGTGGAAGTGGATTATCACAAAAGTCTTCACCATTGTTGCCTTCGCATTAAGTAAGCTGAGGGGGAGGAGGAGGTTGGAGAGGTTGGCTTTTCTAAGGGGTGGCAGAAGCAGAAGGAAATCCTTACATATGTAGACTTGCACAGTTCAAACATGTATTGTTCAAGGATCGCCTGGGTTTATAATATATATTATTTGTATATTTAAATATATATGTTTGTGATTTTTTAAAGGTTTATTTCTGGAACTTTAAGCAAGAATTAGAAAACTTTAATCTGCTAAAAGATTAATAAGCTTTGAGAATTTGTAGAGTTGATAGCTACACTGGTCACTGATTTAGGAAGGTCCATACCCATTTGAATACTGAGCATAAACTTAGGAAAATTAGAAAGATGTTCTAGAGTTAGTAAAGGCATAAGATAAGGGTCTTTTCTTTTCCCCTCTACTATTTATGATATGATTTTCTCTCATAGAAAGGGAAAAAATAAGTAAAGGTGTTTTTACTTTTTACTACTATTCTGCCTTGTTTTGCTTTGCTGTAAATTGATATGACTTTATGATTCGTTTCCCCTAATGATTTTTGGATTCATATTTTTTTCAGTCAGTCAATTAAACTTTCAGTGGTTGAGTTTCTATGCTCTAGACACTATGAGGGCACAATTCTGACTCAGTGGTTACATGATAGTCACCAATACTAAGCCTTAATTATTTCATGAAAAGTCCCTGCTCTAGTCCATCTTGAATATAAAACTAAAAAATTAACTATAGGGATGTCTATATGCCTTCTATTAGCCTCATCTTACTTATCTCACTTCAGCATGTAAAAATATAATCATAATAACTACTTAATTAGTTTTAAAACTTCAGTACAGATTTTAAAGTATGAAATCAGCTATACTTATTTTCAGATTTCAATTTAATAATTTTTTCTTTGGAGTTCCTTAAAATATTCCTTGATTTTCAACATTATCTCCTAATGTGATCAACTCTCTTCAGCCCACTCGTATTCCTTTTTCCAATCTTACCCTGTTTTCTTAGTCTCTGAGACTTTGCTTATATTGATCACATGTCTGGGATGTGTTCTCCTCACCAATGGAATCTTGTTAATCTAACTTCAAATTTACCTTGTCCAAAAATGTTTTTGCAGTAAACTTTACCTAGGATAATTCTTTGTATCTTAAATATAGAATAAGTTTTCGATAAATTGTTAATTATACACAGATAGATGTTTTGTGACTTTCTTACTAAGCATGTATTTAGATACATATAGCAAAAGGTAATCAGTTGTGAAACCATTATGTGTGATTCACATAATGAGTTGTGTGATTCACATAATGAGTTATGTGAATCAAGGGGTTGCCAAGTCCTGCCATCGATACTCAGTTTGGATGATGTTCTCTTCCATAGGGTGAAAAGTTGCTTTACAAATGCTCCCTACGTATGTCGTTTGTGTTTAGTTTCTTATACTACTTTGTTTTGAGTAAGGAAAATTGATTTTTAATTTATTCCATTTAATTATGTCATCTGGTCTCCTTTCAAGTTCCTATTTAAATGGCTTCTGAAATAATAAAAACATATAAATAGTTCTTTATTCTAGATTAAGTCAAATTTTTTATTTCTTCATAATTGTTTAAATTAAAAAAACTCAGTATACTTTTGCTCTTTCTTCTATATTTAAACCTTAATAAATTCTGATATATATGAGCTACTTCAGGATTCAATTGCATTTTTAATAACTGTGCTTTTCTACATGTTTAATAAATCAACCAATGAATGAGCAAAGAAATCAATAAATGAAGATAAATACAACAACTAACTAAAAAGAGCCTTTGGGTAGGGGAAGCCCTACCCAATATTCAAGAATATTTTGATATTCTTGAATGAATTCACATGTGAAATCCAGATTCATGCAGTGTATAAACTGAGTTTAGCAACCAAAGCCTGACATGCTGGCAATTTCAGCAGACTAGCAAAAGCTGTTATTTTTGATTGAAGAATAGAAATTTGCATTGATTATCAAAACAGACTGACATTCATTTGCATGAACATGATAAACCTACAGCAAGCATGCTAGCCAAATAGCACATTTATCAGAAAAATAGCTTCAGTGTGAAATTAATAAGTTGTTTTCCTTTTTTTCAACATGGGCAATAGGAACTTTTTGGTTTTGTTTAAGTATTATCTATTCCAGCTTATACATTGTTTACTTTTCATAATGTAATAATAACACCATGGCACCAATGCATTCTTTCCATGTGAGATAATTACATAAATTAAGTTAGTCCAATACTTACACCTAGCCTGAGTTCAAAACAGTTTTTTAATGTTTTGATTATAAGCAAGTAAATGAGCATATGTCCAATTACATTTTGGGTGCAATAGCTTTAGCCACCACATTTTGGCATTTTATTTTATTAGCTAAAAGTTCACATATGGTTTCCATGTCTCCAAGCTGTCTTTAAAGATACAAGACTTGTATAACCTAACATTGTTTTCTTTCCTCCTCTCTCCCCAGACCCCTCCCTATGTTCCCCATGTCTCACATACGCTCCCTCATAGAGGCACCCCTCTTAGGTTTTTAAGATTATATGTGCAAATAGTGAAAACCTGAAAGTTTGCAGATGCTTTCAAGGAATAATAAAAGAATTTTCCAACCCTAAAATTTTTACCTAATAAAGTATTCTGAAATGAATTCAAAAATGTTTACTATAGAAGCAGCAGTATTAATGTACAAATATATACAAGTTACAATTACTATTTAGCTGCTTCATTCTTTGGCTTGATGCTACACACTAGCATTATTGTCACCCTTTTCCTCCTCAAGACCCTCCTCAGCAGCTTTGGGATAAAGGAAGGGGAAACTTAGTGAACATCTTAAAGGTTGAAATGTATAAGACACAGCCTTGCTGGTGAAGGACACAGAATAAGGGAGCACAAAGAACACATTCAGTTCCTTTTGGCTTCAACATTCTTCTCTGTGTATCTGTGTTACTGATATGGTTAATGGTTTGGAAAACTGCAAGACTTGCATATTCTGGCCAGGGCTTAAAGACAACCTTTCTGAACAACCAACTAACAACTTGGTTACTTTTTAGGCTGTTGCTTTTAGCGTTTCAAAAGCCTTGGAGTAAATCAAATGTCTTTACTTTTTTTTAGTTGCCTCACCTGTTTATTGGAAATATCATATTTAATTTACAAAGAAAGTGGGGATTTTAATATATTGTTGATTTACAAAGGTTTCTAAAACTTCATATACAAGCAGTATTCAACTGATATAGGATATTCTTCAAGTTCAATATATATATTTAAGAAGAAAAAATCGTAAGACTATGAAATAGTCAACTGTGTAAAATGTTGAACTGTGTTAAATGTAAACTCCTGCATGCTATAGATCTTCATGCAGTAGATCTGACTTCTAGCTTTCAAACACATAACTTTTTCAAATTCCATTATTTGCAGGCAACCCCTTAAGAAGCAGGACATGGAATATTTTGTCATTTTCATTCTGAGGAACAGACTGGTTGGGTGCACTAGGCAGCTGATATGATGGGAAATCCTGCTGTCCATGAAAGAAAGTTAATGGATTTTTATAATGGTGCCAATCATATGGTAGAAATTATCCTTTCAATATTAGAGAATTTGATTAAAGGAATTACGTGAATTAGAAATTTTGAAGAATTTCATTGAAAAGCATTTTAAAGGTAATGCAAATTTTTGATTGAAAATATTTTGGTAATAAGTCATACATGCATGAGCTGTAAAATTCAAAGATTATTAAAAGATTAGGATTGTGTATTCTATTCCTGTGAAGAATGTCATTGGTGTTTTTATAGGGACTGCACTGAATCAATAGATGGCTTTGGGGAGTATTTTTCCTTGTAGAGATCTTTTACTTCTTTAGTTAAACTGATTCCTACATATTTTATTTGTAGCTATTGTAAATGGGATTGCTTTCTTGATTTCTTTTTCAGGATTACTCTTAGCATACTGATTTTTATGTTGATTTTGTATCCTGCAACTTTAATAAATTGTATGGAACCACAAAATCATCTAAATAGTTAAAGCAATACTCAGCAAAAAGAACAAAGCTGGAGGTATCACACTATATGATTTCAAATTGCACTGCAAAGCAATAGTTACCAAAACAGCATGGTACTAGCTAAAAAACAGACACATAGACCAATGGAACAAAATAGAAAACCTAGAAATAAATCCATGCACTTACAGCAAACTTATATTTGACAAAGACACCAAGAACATACATTGGGGAAAATACAATCTCTTTAACAAATGGTTCTGACAAAACTGGTTGTCCATATTCAGAAGAATAAAATTAGATACCCATATTTTACTGTATACAAAAATCAACTTGAAAGATTAAACACTTAAAGATAAGACCTAAAACTATAAAACTACTAGAAGAAAATATTGGGGAAACACTCCAGGATATTGATCTGAGCAAAGATTTTTGACTAAGATCTCAAAAGCACAGGCAATAAAAGCAAAAAGAGGCAAATGGAACTACACCAAGCTAAAATGATTCTGCACAGCAAGGAAAGAATTAACAAAGTAAAGAGAAAACCTACATAATGGAGGAAAATATTTGCAAACTAGCAAGCTGACAGGGGAATAGTAACCAGAATATACATAAAACTCAACTCAATAGCAAAAAAACACACAAAAAACCCCACAAATAATTCAATTTAGTAATGGGCAAAATATCTGAATAGACATTTCTCAAAAGAAGACATACACATGGCCAATGGGTATATAAAAAACATGCTCAACATCATTAGTCATCAGAGAAATGCAAATTAAAACCACAGTGAGATATCATCTCACCTTAGTTAGAACGGCTACTCTTAACAAGACAAAAGATAACAGGCTGATGGGGATGTGGAGAAAGAGGAACATTTGTACACTATTGAGGGGAATGTAAACTAGTACAGTCACTATTGAAAATAGTATGGAAGTTCCTAAAAAAACTGAAAGTACAACTACTATATGATCCAGCAATCCTATTTCTGGGTATCTTTCCAAAATAAAGGAGATCAGTATATTGAAGACATATCTGCATTCTGTGTTTATTACAATACTATTTACAATAGCCAAGACATGTAATCAACCTAAGTGTCCATCAATCGGTAAATGGACAAAGAAAATGTGGCATATATACACAACAGAATATTATTCAGCCATAAAAGAAGAATGAAATCCTGTCACTTGCAGCAACATGGATGGAACTGGAAGTCATTATGTTAAGTGAAATAGCCAGGCATGGAAAGACAAATATTGCATGTTCTCCTTCATATGTGGAAGCTAAAAAAGTAGATCTCACTGAGTTAGACAGTAAAATGGTCACTACTAGAGACTGAGGAGGAAAGGGGAGTGGGAGAAATGAAGACAGGTTAGTTAATGGGTAAAAAAATAAAGTTAAATAGAAGAAATAAGTTCCAGTATTTGATAACACAGTAGGGAAATTATAGTTAACAATATTTTCTTACATGTTTCAAAGTAGCTAGAAAATGTTTTCAACACAAAGAAAAGATAAATGTCTGAGGCAATGGATATCCCAATTACTCTGATTTGATTATTATACATTATACACATGCTCCAAAATATCACATGTACTCCCAAAATATGTACATCTATGTTAATAAAAATATCCAAAGTTATAAGTTTATACAGTAAAAAGTACATCTTTAATTAGTAAACCCCAGTTTTCCTCCTAAGAGAAAACTCAGACCACTGGTTTCTTATTCCTCCTTGTAGATATCCCCTACACACTCAAACATACACACACATCTATTTTTTCTTACCCACTCCTTAACAATCTCCCCTTCTTTATGATGGAAGTCTGTTCTTTTCAGGGTAGAAATGTGCCCAACTAAAACATAGCAGTTCCAAGGTACCTTTCCATTTGGATGGCTGTTCAATGCAATTCTGGCCAATGAGAGGGAAGCAGAAATTGATTATTGGTTCTTTCAGGAATGTTATTTGGAAGATTGAAAAATGTACAGTCTAATTCTCTCGGGTTGAAATATCAATAAAATGTTGGAAATGGAAAAGCCGTCTTACAATAAGTAGGGAGTAAACCACACGTGAGAATTAATGACAGAGAGACGGAAGAAGCCTGAATCCTTGCTGGTGGAATGGCATCACAGTGGTAGCTCTAGACTACTTTTACATTAGAAAAATAAAATTCCTAATTTATGCTTCATCCTTTTATAGAAGCATAATATTCTATTTTATAGATGTGATATAATTTCTTTCCAGACTTCCATTAAAGTCCAGTTAGGTTGTTTTAATGCTCCCAATAAAGAATATTTCACAATAGATATTCAGATACATATCATTCTACGCAGGAGCCACCATATGTGCATGATAAATTCCTAGAAGCTGAATTGCTTGGCTAAAGGGCACATACATGTAAAAAGCTTAGACGTTGTCAAATTACTTATAGAAAATTCCACTTTATTGACATCAATTCATGAAAAAGCAGGTTTTTCCACACCTTTATTAATGTAACATATCAAACTTTTAGGTTTTGTTTTCTAAACTGAAGGTAAAAAATCATATCTCAATATAGTTTTAACTTAAATTTCTTGCATTACAAATAAGGTTGAAATGTTTTCATTTGCTATAGAGCTATTTATTTTCCCTTTTCGCAGTCTTTGGCATCTTGCGCCCAAATTTCATTGGATTCCTTATTACTTAATTATTCAAATGAAATATTCAAATATTATTAAAATAATGCCTATAATTTTATGTCATTTACAGATCCCTAGCTTTTAGTTTATCTCTTACTTTTTTCCTTTTTTAATCCATGCAGAATTCTATAGCATTTGTGCAATTGAATTAGTTTTTTTAAATGGCTTCTAGATTCACATCTGACCTGCAAACGCTTTTCTCACTCAGATTATAAAAACATTCTCCTATGGATTGAAAAGTTTGATCCATTTTGGAATTCATTTTGATGTAGCCAAATGTGAGGTAAGGATTCAACTTCATTTTCTACCAAATGTTTACTCAGTTGTTCCAACATATTTATTGAATAAATGCTTTACCTCCACTATTTCTAATGCCACCTTCATCATATACTAAAGGCCTGTATATATCTGAATCTATTTATGGCCCTTTCAGTCTATTGTATTAATCAGTCTGTCTATCCATGTGCCACTATGCTGTTTTAATTATTGTACCACTATAATGTGCTTTAATTGGGCTTGCTCCTTCCTTATTATTGTCATCTTTCAGAATTTTTCTTGCTCTACTTACTTGTCTATTTTTATACATTAACTTTAGAAACAGCATATCCACTTCCAAAAAACATCCTTGTCTTATAAATTTAAAACTAAATATATACACTAAGGAAAATCTTTAAGAGGTTGTGTCTTACTAAAAATATATTATATGCATTTCCACTTAATTGAATATTATATTGTTTCTTCAGTAGTATCTTATGATTTTTTCTTATAGATCTTATGCATTTCCTGTTATCTTATTCCATTTCACTTTTGTCCCTATTGTAAATGCAGTATCCCTTTTACCACTTATAATTGTTTTGATACATGATGGCAGGTGATTTTGATATAGTAACATATCCCAAACAAACTTACTAAATGTATTTATTGTTTGTGAAGCCTTTTAATTCATTTTCTTAAACTTCCCAGGGAAACAAATATGTCATTAGCAAATAGTGATAATTTATTTCCAATTTTTAAGCTAATTATTGCTTCTCTTTGTCTAATTGCAATGGGTACAGTAACAGTTCAAATTCAAATAAGGGCTCTAGTTTAGTTGCAAAAATATTAATATGCTTTCCCAATTTGGCTCCCTATAACCACTACCAATACTATTAAACTTGCGCTAGTATAGCCTTTTCTTGGAAGATCTTAACAATTCATTTAAAATGCATGTTAATTATAACTGTCTTTTGATGAAAAACAAGGCCGTAGAGAAAGGTAAAAGTGGTGATAAATATAAAACTATATTCAAAGCCAATGAAATGCCTAAATAATAAAAATATTTATAAGCCCTAGCTAACAGCTCCACCTTTCTAAGTAGTATTCATGGCAACAAAATTCAAGGTAAAAAAGTACATTTCCCTAGAGTTTAATGTAAAAAAAATTTGGAAAATTTCTTACTCTAATGAAAATATATGTTCACATCTAATATAGTGCTTTATAGTTATGTTCAATACTTTTATTGGAATTGAATTTTAATATTTAATGTAGAACATTTTATGTATAAGTAACTAGAAGCTTTAAGATAACTAGATAACTTTTTAAAATTAGATAACTTTAAATAGAATTGTCAAATGTGGGCACTCTCTGCATTATTTGTTATATATCATATTGATTTTTTAAAGAACAGATAAGCAAATGGATAAAAGAAGCCATCATATAAGAAAAATGAAACATGTAACATAACGAATAAAATGAGATCAAAGATGGTAAAGTTGGTTTACTGTGATGAATAGTTTACTTATTTCAAATGTTGATCTCAAAACTAATTTCACAGCAAATTCTTTTCTAAAAAAGAAAGAAAGAAAGAAGCATGTCATGGCCAATAACTGCTGAAAAACTGTGGAGACTGGCACTTTCAAATGCTTGGCAGATTATTAAGCCAATTTTTGTTGAGTCCACTCTAGCTGTTGGAGGGTCTATGATTCCCAACTGTTTCACATCAGAGAATGAAAACAAGTAGGGCCCAGCCAAGACCACATTGGTAACTGCCAGCCCCTTTATATGCCAAACATGAAAGCAACAAGTCCAGATGCTTTGATCCTTGCATTTTTGGACTTAGCCCAATGTTATAGAAAAAAAGCACAACTCATGTTAGGACAACATACATTATAAGTAGAAATCAATCAATAGCACTGTGACCTTCAAACTCAGTAAATGTTTGGAGTTAGTTTCAGAGCATGTAATCTAAACTGGGGATTCGAAATTGGAACTGGTCCTAAACTAACAGAAAAAAATGTATATTTCTAAAATATAGAGATTAAAGGAAGCAACAGATGAAGTTTTAATTTATATATGTATGTGTGCATATATGTGTATATACATATGTACTTAAGAAGAATGTATTCTAATTTAAAAGACCCTAAATGGTAAGGAAAAGAAACCCACCACCACAGTGGAAACCTCTTTCCCTGCACGTAATTATAAAAGAAACTGAATTGTGAAGGGAAAATACATTGGAAGGAAATTATGAGCTTTCTCCCAATTTGGAGTAAGAGAATAATGAGATAATTTAATAAGTGAGTCACTTGGTTGCTAGGACACTGTTCTGACTTGTAGCACTGCTCTAGGCCTGCCAATTTATGAAACAATTGGCCCTCGTCTTGGCAAGGTTGTAGACCTACATTCCCCAACACAGGTACATTGAAGAACTGGCTACGACAGAGCCGAGCTGCGGAGATGATGGCCAATCTGAATTTGGACACAAGTTTAACTGCAGCCTCAATTCTTGTTTTTTTTAATCACTGTCTATGGTCAGGAGAGTTACCTGAAACAAATATTCTGGAATAGAGGAAATGTCAGTAAAAAATACCCTAGTTTAGGGGGCAGGATCTAGCACCAAGAGGTAAATAAAAACAATTTTGCATTATTTATTTAATTTTTTTAAATTTTACAATAATGAATTTACTGCATTGTCGCACAATTTCTGTCTAGACTACATTGTGTTAAAACCTTACCTTTTTTGTATTGTAAGCCTTTTGAATTGTTCCTGGCACCAAACAGACTGTTCTAGCACAAAACCTAATTTACAGTAATGCCTAAAGTGTTCAAGAAGCTATCATTAAGATTTCTTTTTCTTTTCTCATTTTTTAAGGTATATGCTTCTCGGTCAGAAAATTAAATTAGTGGTGGTGATAATACATTGCAATCTTTACTGACAAGTGAGAAAGGCAATGCACAATGCACAGATAGTCTAACATTTTCAAAACCTTCCAGGAACTAAAGACACCAGTTGCTGGAAGATCTGGTCTTGGCCTGTCAGCCTGCCAAAAAAAAAAAAAAAGTTATTTCCTACAATATAAACTGACTGAAAATGCCTCACAGTGTCTTCAAGAGAGCTGGGTCAGGGAAGGGAAGATGATCATACTGTTAGTTTGGCTGTGTTATCTGTATGTGTTTCGGCTGTTAAAAGCATACTCATGCACAAGGCAGAACCCATTAATGTATCTAAATAAGATAAGACAGTTAAGGCACGAGATCAGAACTTGGCCTATCTAAGTGAGCCTGTTTACCCAAGTGCTGAGAACAGCTTAATTCCGAACTTAGAAACATGGACATAACACCACAGAATTCATATTTTGCATTGAGACTTTTAATTTTTATTAGTCATTCCTTACATTGACTAATGCTCATATATCTTTATATGTATTCCACAATTGCAGAAGAATTCTTCTTTTAGGCCTATTTCTAAATAAATATATAAGTGGCAAGTGGACAAAAGCATACATCTATTCATTTATTCTTTCGTTGATCCCTTATGACTTGTGAAGGACTTTGTTGAAGGCTGAAAGGAATTTTAAAAGTAGAAAACAGTATGCTATAGTAGAAAGGTCAGAGACTTTAACATAACAATGTTTAGCTCAATCCCGGCTTTTCCACTTAATAAGGGTATGATCTTGAACAAATCACTTATCCTCCCTACATTTCAGTTCCATCATGTTTAAAACTGTAATAAGGGCACTTTCCTACTTTACTCTGTTCTTTGAGGTTTAAGAGAGATAATACGAAATAGGTAGCAATCCTTTGTAAACTATAAACATGTCAACAACATAGGTATTACAAGGAAAGGATGTTTTTCCTGCTACAAAGGAGTTTCCATCAATTTCTGGAGGCAAGGCATCTTTACATAAAATGGTTTTGGTATTAGTTAAAGGAAATTTTTGATTAGTCACAGTAAATATTAAAAAAATAAAATAAAAAAACACAGAGGCATCAAGATTTGAGATGACCCCAAAGGATGGGTTTGACTACACTAGGTTAAGAAAAAGAGAAAACATGTATAGTTAGAGAGTTCTGTGAACTACAATATGAAAGTAGAAATATAAAATAAAATATTTTCAGTCAATTATTTATGCACACAAAAACATTTGTTTAGTATGAAGAGAACGGTTTGACTGAAACACTTTTGAGGAAGATAGGAGACAAAATGTAGATCTTTCACTAAATTCTGACAGGCTATAAATCATTGTGAAAGCTGTGGCAACTCTGTCATAGTAAAGACGGTACAAGTAAAAGATATATATATATGAAAAAAATATATAAGAGAGGCTAACAGGAAATCTCTGTTCCAATTTTTCTAGCCCTAGTTTGCCAAGTAGGGAAGTAACACCCAAGACAAAATATAGTGATGTATTTTTGGAAAAACTCCTGGCTTAGTTTTAGGTTTGGAATAACCTTGGAGGGGTATTTTGGACGGTGTATCTGGTCTACTTTGTATTGGCACCTATGATGTTGTTCTGAAGTTAGGTGGCCCGCTCTGTCTTGTCAGAATACAGACAAATCTGGATATCAGTCAGATGGTCAAGAACACCAAGAAAGGCCTGAAAGAGGGTCACAGGTAGAGAAGGAAAAAAGGAGAAAGTTCAGTCTCAGCTGGAGTACATACAAGTGCAGGCCATACATGTGTTATATCTGTAGCCCAAAAGAGTCTGAATAAAGAATGTTGGGTTGCATCCAGTAACTGGGCTGGCCATGAACTTTTCAGACAGTTTAGTTGAAGGGACAGGAAGTGACAAATACAAGAAAGATATAGGATATGAAAAATCAGAAAAGTGGAGATACAGCCTCAAGATGAAACCTATCTGGAGATCTGTAATGATCTGTTGTCTCAACTCTTCCTTGGTATCCTCTTTTTCTTCTTCCTCTTCCTCTTTTGCTTTCTCCAATTTCTCTGGTAAAATCATTTATCCTCTCTTCCCTCTCTCCCTCATTTTCTTTCCTAATTTCTGTTTTTGGTAACAAATTTTATTAACACAATTTACAGTTCAGGTTTGCATTTCAGGGTTTCTTGCTAACTGTTCTTAGAGAAAAAAATTTATTTAACAAATGGTGAATGTTTAAGAGTTTATAACAGACATTTTCATCTTCTGGTAATGGTAGGCTAGTGTATTGCAGAGGAACCCTCCCACCAAAAGTAAAAAAAAAACTGGGCAACACATAGACACACATATACACACAAATGCATCTCTCTCTCTTCCCCAACCACCCAGATAGATAGGTAGGTAGCTGGATAGATAGATAGATAGATAGACAGACAGACAGATAGACAGACAGACAGATAGATAGATAAAGAGATAGATAGATAGACAATAGAAAATTTTTGTGTTTAAGAATTGGGGAGCTATTAAGGCAGTGACAATTACAAAGGTCAAAATATCCAAGACACAGGGTTAGACAGAAGTAGAAAGATGAGCCCAATGTCCTGCACCATTTTCCCCCTGCCGTTTACTGATTCACGAGCAAAAGCAAAGAGGCAGAGAAGTTAAATAGATCTTTGGAAGGACTGGGTAGCAATAATTGGAGTTTAGGACTCATCAACAAGAAACCCTAGAAAAGACCCCAAGCTTTCAATTGGGCTTCCCCAAAGGGCCACACTTTAAGTATGGGGTAAAATGGAATTAGACTGGCCCTCACAAAGACTAAAGCCCATCTGACTGGTTTAGAATAATCTATTTCTACCTTAACTGTCTGAAAGAGCACATAGTCCAAAACCAAGAAAAAAAAACAGACAAGAAAAGCAAACCCTGAAGAAATGTGGATATAGTAATTATCAGACATGGACATTAAAACAACCATAATTTATTTATTCAAGAAATCAGATGATAAGATAGAGGACTTCAGCATAGAACTGAGAGCCACAAAACAATAAAATAAAAATTTTAGAAATAAAAAATGTGATAATTGAAATTAAGAACACAATAGATGAGGTAAGCATCAACCAAGACACAGCTGAGGAGATTATTGAACTGAAATACAGGTCACAAAAAAATTATATACAGACTGAATCATGGAGAGAAAAAAGGGATAAAAGTAAACAAACAAAACTCCAGAAAACTACATAAAGGAAATTTAGGATGTGGTAGGGGGTAAATAAACAAAGCTTCTAAAGTTGTAATTAGCGTGAGAGAGAATTTTGCTTAGTCAAACTAGTCAGGCTTCTGAATCTTCTCCTAGGCCCATCTGTGCACTTCCTCATAAAACCCAGTTTTAGCAAAAGAACCCTGCTAAGTAAGTTTGGCCAAGACCTCTCATCCTCAATATCTAATTATCCTTTATATCAGATCAGATTCTTCATCCTTCACCGTCCTCCACATGATGTCTGATCCCCTTGACCTGTCTTTAGTAAGAATCCCCTTAGGTAAGTTTATTAAGAATATTCCTTAATATTCCTTACTGTTGATGCTTCCTCTTAGTAATTTTCCATCCACTGATCCTTCCACTGCTCCTTGGCTAAAAATTCCCAGTGGCCCATGCTGTATCTGTAGCTGAGTTCAATGTCACTCCCTTATTGCAAGACTCCCTTGCAGTGGTTCCCATACCTATCCCAATGGTCCTGAATAATGTCTCCCTTACCATCAAGTATCATTGAATAGTTTTTTTCTTTAACAGATGTCCTAGAAAGAAGAGATAATTTTCTAAATCCTAACAAGAAAATCATTAAGTAGAGTCAAAAGTACTATGAACTCCAAAACATAAAATAAACCACACTTAGGCTCATCACAGTAAAACTTCAAACCAAGATAGACATATTTCCTACAAATTAATAACAATAAGACTGATCAGCAGTGATGAAGATCAGAAGATAACGGGATGATATTTTCAACATACTGGAAAAAAATATAACTGCCAACTGAGAATTCCACATCTTGGGAAAATATTCTTCAAAAAATGAGAAATAATAACATTTTATTATAAGCAGAACCTGAGAGAATGTATCATCAACAGACCCACACTAAAGGCAATAATAGAAGGAGCTCCTCAGATAGAGAAAATGATTCCAGAGAAAGCATGAAAATGTGAGAAAGAATAATCAACCATGGAAAGGGTAAAGATGAGTGGAAATCTAAGGAAATATTGATTTATAAAAACATGAAAGATAATGTCTTATTGAATTTAAAACATATGTAAAATTAAAATATATGACAATAATAAGATAATGTAAAAGACATGAAGATGATAAATGAAGTTAAAGTATTCTGTTTCTTGCATTTGGGGGCAAGGGTGAAACAATACCAATTGATATTAGATTATTTTTTAAAAGAACAAATTTTTATTATATAGAGTAACCACTAAGAGAGTAGAAAAATGAATAATTAACAAGCTAATGGAAGACAAATTAAGACAAGAGAAAAGGAAAAGGAATGCAGAAATGTTGTAACAAATATAACAATAGTTAGATGGTAGATTTAAAACTAAATATATAAGAAAATATACTAAAGTAAAATGAAGTATATGCTACAAAAAAGAAAAAGATTATCAGGCTGAATTTTAAAGAAAAGCAACAATAAAAATTATATACTATCTATAAGAGGCACATTTTAAAGATTAAAAAAGCTAAAAGTTGAAGGAAAAGAAATTTATATCTTGCAAACCATAAACAAAAGGAACCTTGTATAGCTATACTAATATCAGACAAAGTAGACTTGAAGGTAAGAATCATTACCAGAACTAAAATAGGAATTTTTTAATGTTCAAATTCTAAGTATGTTTCTATCTAATAAAAGCAAAACTGATAGAACTAGAAAAAATATTAAATATCTACAATTGCTTTAATATTCTTCAATCTAAAACTGACAAAAGCAAATGGAGGCTGGGCGCAGTGGCTCACACCTGTAATCCAGGAATTTGAGAGGCTGGGGTGAATGGATCTTTTAAGCTCTAGAGTTCGAGACCAGCATGGGCAACATGGCGAGACCACATCTTTACAAAAAAAAAAAAAAATTAGCCAGGCAAGGTGGCACATGCCTGTAGTTCCAGCTACGTGGGAGAATGAGGCAGGAGAATCATTTGAACCCGGGAGTCAGAGGTTGCAGTGAGCTGAGATTGCATCATTGCACTATAGCCTGAACCACAGAACAATACTCCATCTCAAAAAAAAGCAAATACACAAAAAAATCAATAAGGGTATAGAAGAATTGATAACATGACGAACAAATTTGACCTAAACGGCATATGTAAAACATCATACCCAACACCTACAGAAGACATATTCTTTACAAATGGCCTTGAGACACTGATCAAAATTGAGCATATGTTGTGTCACAAAGCAAATCTTAATTAAACTAGAAAACTGGAACCATTCAAAATATGTTCATTGGCCACAGTAGCATAAAACTACAAATCAATAATAAAAAATGGTTTTATGTTCCCAAATATTTGAAAATTAGCGATATACTTTTATATAACCTATACATCAAAGAAGAAATCACAGTGGAAATTAGAAAGAAAATTAATTTAATGATTATCAAATATAAATATCAAAACTTTAAAACACAGAAGCTAAGTCCATGCTTAGAAAATATATACACTTAATTTCATGTTAGAAAAGAAGAAAGGTTAAAAAAGTATTTGCCAATCTCAAAACGTTAGAAAAAAAAGAACTAGAAGCCCAAAGAAAGTAAAAGAAAAGAAATTATATTATGGCAGTAGGAATTAATAAAATAAAAACAATTCTATAATAGAAAAATTCAACAAAAACAAATATTAATTATTTTTACTATAGAATTAATAGCAATAGGGCAACACTGTTCAAGAGAGAGGGAGAGCTTTAATAACCAATATCAGGAATCAAAGTGATAATGATGTTATTACAATCCCACAGTTACTGAAAAAATACAAAGTAATGTGAACTATTTTAGGCCAATAAATGGGTAAATGTTTGGAAAAAACTTTACAGAAAGGTGTTCTAAATTAATTATTTGTTTAATAATAAAGTACCCTAAAGAAGAGAGTTTTGGGTCTGGGTGTGGTGGCTGATGCCTGTAATTCCAGCAGTTAGGGAGAGCAAAGTAGGAGGATCCCTTAAACCGAGGAGTTCAAGATCAGCCTGAGCAACATAGCAAGACCACATATTTGCAAAAAATAAAATTTTAGCCAGGAATGGTGGCAGGCACCTGTAGTCCTAGCTACTTGGAAGACTAACACAAGAGGATTGCTTAAGCCCAGAAGTTGAGGGCTGCAGTGAGCTATGACTGCACCACTGCACTCTAGCCTGGGCAACAGAGCAAGACCCTGTCTCAAAAAAAAAGAACAAAAAAAAAACAAGCAGATTTTTTGGATCATTATTTTGTGTGGATCTAAAAAAGTCTCTTTCAGGACCCTGTAGAATGCCATTCTAGTCATTTCTTTCTCCTCATATTGATAAGTGAATGCCATTAGGAAAGACTCTAAAAACTGTGGTACAGAATTATCCCATTTGGTTTAAGTTACAAAATGACATATGAGGAGTTTTTAGAGAGTGACTCTGTAGACTCATAGACTAAGTGAACTTTGGGTTAGATAAGATGGTGAAAGAGAAAGTGAAAGATTAGCGTTGTGGGGCTTATATCCCATAGGATAGGTCCTGTATCGCCTCCCACTTCAGAGAGTTGCATAGCACATGTGCTGAATCTTTGATAAGATCCAACAGGCCAAAGTGCCACAAGTTCCCTGGTGATGTGTCTGAATGTGTGTGTTTTTTGTTTCGTTTTGTTTCTTTTTAAGACTTGGTGTACAAGAACATGTATCTCTGTCTCTCTGCAGTCTCTTTCTTAATGTTTCTTGGTTTCTCTATTTTTTCTCTTTCTTAGTATGAAAGATTTTTCCAAGCTTCATCTTCAGCCACTTCTCCTGACATTAGACACAATTTTTTCCTGTGTCCTTCCTACAGTGACAATTAATCTTTATGTATAATTCCCCAGAATCTCTTAACTCGGCTTACACGCTAAACTCAAGACAGAAATCAAATTATGACACTCTCTCCTTAACTCAATGTTCAAGGCGCTTGATCCATAATTCAAAGAACTCTGTCATTCAACTCCAAACTACCATTCCAGCTTTCACTGTCATTAAACCCCTGCTTCCTGAGTTTGCAACCAGAGCACCACTTTCCTGTCATGGTGGCATATGCACACTCACACTCTTTCCTCACCAGAAAGGCCCTTTCCTCCTCAAACCACCTCCCAGATTCTTACTCTCCTTTCAAGGTCTAGGTCAAATCCCATTCTATCTGGAAAACCTTCCTATATTGGTCTCATTCTGTTTATATGTTTCATAATGGAATTATTTAAATTTTTTTTTCTACTGGATTATGATGGGGGGACACTTTCTAGTCATCATTATTTCCCCACAACACTTAGTCCACAGTTTATACAATGTAATCAATAGAATCCTGTTGACTTTCAAACCTTCATTCTGAACTTTCACTTACTTCACCTAATGTGACCCTCTCTCCCTGGGAAAATCCTGCTTAGCCTTTGATATCCAGCTTTAGTGTCATTGACTCAACAAACCCTCCCTATCCCCACATAGAACCAAGTTGAAGTAGAAGTGAGGGAAAAAATGCAAGTTTCTTCCTTTAATTTTCTTACATAATAGAGCTTATGAAACTTACCAGTTGCATGTCAATTCAGTGTATGTTCATGTTGTGTGTACATATTTGGGGTTTTCAACTTTTCTGATAGTTCTCCTATAAGTTATTCTTTTAACAGATTGAGTTTCATTCTGCCAAGGTGATCCCATAGGCAGACTTTAATAACAGAATTTGTTTAAATTACACAGGAGTTTTAGATTATGAATTTTAATCTGGTGATAACTCTACATGAATAGGTAAAGTTGAATTTCAGTGGGGAAAAGGAAATAGACTTCTTTATATTTGTAAAAATAATTCTGGTGAAAAAGCATATGACCCAGTCTAATTAGTTAATGAGATATGAACACCAGCTTGAGAATGGTGCTTTAAAACTGAAGTAACTAAGGTTTTTCCTTTCCTGGTATTTTCCTAAGACAGATCTTCAAAACCAGATACATACCACAATATTCATCCAACATGAGTGTTTTTGATTGAACAAATATCTTTAATAGAAGCAGAATGTGCCAAGAATTATCTGGTGGTGTCCTTTTTAAAATTGATGTTTACTTTTTTCCATAGCTAACAATTCGAGATTAATCTGAAATAGTCATTTAACATTTTTCAGATACATTTTCTGTGTACTGTTTCATACATACCTAACTAAAGACCTAATAAAGCATCCCGAGTTTACTGAGTGCCTGCTATGTGTTCAGCTCTCAGCTCTGTTTTATGTGAGATTAGAAGAATGCTTTCCTGATCCTTGAAGAGACTCTAATCCAACTGGGAAGACAACTGGCACACAGATTTGGTGAAAATTTTTACTAGGCCAAATAGAATCAAACTTTTCAGAGTACAGAAAAGGCCTTAGGTATGGTAAAAGAAAAATGAAAAACAAATTATTTTAAGGAAACTCCAGAAACTGAATAAGCAGAGTTCACTAGGTGAGCAGTGTTACAAAACCAAAGAGAAATACTGACTTCCACCAAGAGTATCCAAGAGCAGAGCACAGAGCTGTCAGAGCAGAATATGCTCTGTGCCCCCAGAACTCCAGTGATGCTGGCCTGCATGGCATTCCCCAACACCTCATACAGTTACACTGGCTGCGTCTTTACAATGCATTCTCAGCCTCCTCTATTTGCACAAGCCTGAAATGTATTTCTTCAAGGTCTATCCCAAATGCTTCCTCTTCCTTGATGATTCCTGATTGATTCATCTGTTTCCTTTCATGAATTCTTAGTCTGAAACTCTCTGATTGCAAGACTATTATTTTCTTTGAATCATAGCTCTTGGTGTCCAGACCTTAAATTCTCACTTTTCCCCGAGAGTGTTCTGGCCCAAAAAACCAAATTCGATTTTTCTTTATATCTCTGACAGAGACTAATAATGACTACACATACAAAGATTACTTGTTGAATGAATAGATGTAATATAAACTAATAAATAATATGTGAAATAAACTATAAATTACATATTTTCCTTTGTATCTACTCATGGGATTTCATATAAACCAGTTAAAGTACTACATTAGGTCTTTAAGCAGAAAGAAAACTTTGCATGCAGATTATGTGTAAGTGAAAATGCCAAAGAGTCTAGGATGTTAATGAAGAGACTTTTGATACAAAGTATGAGGTGACAAGGGCAGGACCATATTAGTGGCAGTAGTGATGGGGAAGAGGATGGAACCATATGATTCAATAGATATAGGACATGAAAAAGGCAACTAATTAGATATGTTTGTAATTTGCAAGTTCCATAAAAATTTAGATAATGTCTTATTATTACACATGTCACAGCATTAAGCAGTGACTTGCAAGTGAAAGAGAATCACTGAAGCAGGGCACAGTGGCTCATGCTTGTAATTCCAGCACTTTGGGAGGCTGAGACGGGTGGATCACTTGAGGTCAAGAGTTCAAGACCAGCCTGACCAACATGGTGAAACCCCGTCTCTACTAAAAATACAAAATTAGCTGGATGTGGTTGCACATGCCTCTAATTTCAGTTACTTGGGAAGCTGAGGCAGGAGAATCACTTGAGCCTGGGAGGCAGAGGTTGGAGTGAGCCGAGATCACGCCATTGCACTCCAGCCTGGGCAACAAGAGTGAAACTGTCTCCAAAAAAAAGAAGGAAGGAAGGAAGGAAGGAGAAAGGGAGGAAGGGAGGGAAGTGGGGGGTTTGGGGGGAGAGGAGGAGGGAGGGAGGGAGGGAGGGAGGGAAATCACTGGAAAGAAGATAGCTAAACTCCCATCCCAAACTGAGTGTTTCCTGGCTGCGTGATGTTGAGCAAGTTACTCAACATCTCTAATCCTCAATTCCTTCAACCATAACATGAGGATAGTAATTCTGAAATCTTTTGAATGCTATGAAGAACCAAGAGAAAAAACAGAAAGTACCTATTGCAGTGACTGGCACATATTTCCTAACTGGTTAAAGGTAATTATCAGTGAATGTTTGCTGAATTTATGAATGAATGCATTAGGGCTAAAGTGGAAAGCAAAGACCAAAGAAAGGACACAGAAGGACTGAAAAAGCCTTTGGAAGAGAGGAAAATAGTTCAAGGTCAGAGGATTCAATGGAGGATTTTAATGTCTTCTGATTGCTTTAAATTATGGTAGGAGACCATGCCAAAGAGCTGAGCCTCTGTGGAAAAAGGTCTGGAATCAACAGTTTATTGTGATTGTATAAAGCATACCACAAAGTGAATTGGACACATCTTTAATATAAATAATTCTTTTTATTCTGCATGACTATCAGGTATAAATAGTTTGCAATTAGGATAACTGACTATGATTTCCATTACGGTTACATGGCTCAAATGAGCATGTGGGTAGATTTAGTTGGGGAAAAAAATAATAGAGCAGGCAGAGGCCTTAGGCTGTTGTAGCCATCTAAATGACAAGAGCATGGTGTAAGAATAGCCATTGACATGGATGCCATTCACTTACAGAACATGACAGTTGCTCTCTGCCCTTTCCCACCTTTTTGCAGATCTCCAAAATCTTAAAGAAATGAAGGGCAAGGAACTTATAGCCTGAAAGCTTTTAGATTTCCTCAGGATATAGAAACCAATTGTTTTAAATCCTCTAATATGTCAGAGATAATTTTGGTGAAAGAAAATCCAGGTTAAATACATCTGTACTTTGTAATTATACTCCAGAGTACCTAGTGATTGAATGTCTGTGTTCTACCTTCTTTAATACTAAATACTTTAATAAGGACAAATGCATGGCACTCAAGCCAGCTTCTGTCCCAATATGTGTCTGGGATATTCCTGGGCCTGAACAATTTAGACCAGAGAAGTTTCCTGCATGGCATCGTGACAGACATTATAAATGAGGCACAGGTCTCCTTCCTCAGAATCTACCTTAAAGCATTGCTCTGGGCAGTCCACTACAAATGGATTGAAATTGGCCTCTAAATTCATACCCGTTTGTCATTTTTGGTTCAGATGTTTGTCTGCCTTAAGACAGATGCCTGGAACAAATGCTGTCTAAAATTCATGTTCAGTTCAATGAGTCTATAGACCTCTCAGTTCCAATAATCTAATTAGCAGAACAAGACCATGATTATATAAGAAGGAGACTCTTGTGTATTAAAACCTTGAGGTAAATAAAAATTAAGGTAATTTATGTCTATGGCTGTATGAATAACTCTATCTTTATCTTGGCATCCTTTGGGTCCTTCTAGTTGTGCATGCATGTATATATTTATAAAATTACTATGTATTTCATTTTACTCATGTTCACAATTTTATCCCATATTTATCTAAGTTCATGATCACTTTTTCATAGTTTTTGTTCTAATTGTTGAGTGTTTCCGAACTGATTCATAATTTACTCTGAAGTCTTCTACTCACTCCTCTTGGCATTACAAATCAGTCTGAAATATGATGATACTAAAATATTTTTTAAATCCCTGGCACTTTGAATGATGATGCTTTGATTGGCTTTACAGAAGAACATACCTGGCAGTGCTCTTTTCAGTACACTGACCTTATTTCTAACAATTTGAAAAAAAAAAGTTTAAACATCATGTATTTTAGAATTTAAAGCTAGTTTATGATCTTTCTATATCGTCATTTGTTTTGAAAATCTTTTCCCCTTTTAAAAATTTTCTTCCTTTCCTCTAATGCCATTCTTAAAGATGTCTGAACCTTATTCCACACAAAAGACCTTAAAGCTGCAGGTGTGACTCTATACTTACAGTATTTTCTGTTACCCTTTTACTTTCATTTTTTCCCAAACCATCATGAGTTAGTCTCCTTATGTGCTCTCTCATTTTGTGCAATATTCTTCCTGAAAGTAAAGTTTAAGCAAAGAAGCTATACTATGTGGTTATTTCTCATTTCTCCCACGGCACCAAAATAAACAGAAATCAAACTTTGATAATCCTTTGAGTCTGTAGAAGACACGTATGACTCCAAGATTTTAGCACAATCTACATTGAAGGGGCTTTAGAAATTTGTTAAACTCATCTAAATCATAGTGTAAAATTAAATTATATTCCAAATAATTCTACTTTTTTGTTATTTTTCATAGCATACATTTATTGAATGGTTTTAAAGAGTAGTATGAACAAATATTCTGGGTGAGAATAAGCACATAACACTTTGGGGGTTAATGGGTAGGTTAGACTGGCTAGAGCAAGGTGTTTGAAGCATTTTAAGGAGAAGTACTGATAGGTACATAGTTTAAAACCAACCAATCACTATAGAATATTACAACATCAAAAGGTGGGCACCCGTAACTGTTATCTGGGTGTCTTTACAACATTTTAATTTGCGTTAGGGAGGGGGGATCTTACTAAGGTTTCTCCAATTCTTAAAATTAAACACTCCAGAGACCATTCTTTAACAACTCTTTTGGGTCATTCCAAAACACCTCTGTTATGGAGATTAATACTCTTTGATTCTGAGCCAACAGCATGGTTTTCAGATGTTACAATTACCTGTTCAGCTTCTCAGGGGCAATTATTTGAAAGGAGTAAATGCTCTGGCTACAATTGCCTCTGTGGGAGCCACAGTAATTGCCATTCATCAGGGCAGCAACCTGCTGAGGGCATCAATTCATAAGCTCTGAGCCATCAATAAACTGGAACTTGGGCCCCTGGTGCCAACATTCTTTACACAATGAAATATTATTACTGGCAATTAGGTAAACAATAGGCCAACCAGGAAATGGAAGAGAGGTTGCCAGTGACTATATCAGCACTCATCCACAGATGTCTTGATACTTTTCCTGCAAGAGAAACACCTTGAGATAACTCTACAAAACCAGGATCAAATTATCACAAAAAAACTTCACAGAGTGAAGAATGAAGGAAAAGAAAAATGATCACAAATGGGTTTTTGTTTTAATCAGGAAATACGGTATGGAGCAGTAGATAGCAACCTTCTTATCATAGATATCCATAGATATCCTATGCCACCTTTGTAGTAGCTGGTGTTGAGTACAACAGATGGAGAAAGACGGTTGTGTAACTGGACTCAAGGAAGCTAGTTCCACAGCCACAGTGTTGGGACAAACAGCTTAATAGTGTTCAGGGAATTCATATTAATGAAAGCTGATAATTTGTGAAGTGCTTTAAGAGTTTAAAAGGATTTTACCCTGCATGATGAAATTTGATCACCATGATAACAGTGATGTAATTAGGGTGGGTATTAGTGTTTCTGCCTGGGTATTTTTGATGAGGGGAGAAGACTGAGGGTCAGAGAGGCTAGGTATTAAGTTGCCTAGGTTGCTTCCAGAATAGTTCTTTCCCTATTCTACCGTGTTGCCTATCTCGTTCAGATCCCCACTCCTAATGTGCTTAGACTAGTCACGAAGGACATGTCCAGCTTACCCCAAACCTATTACTAAAACACTTGAGCCTCAGCCCCTACCCTTCAGAGCAATTCCTCTCGCAGGGCTCTGACTTACTTGAGGAAACAAGGAAATGCTGCAACCAGGGATAGGTCAGGAACTTTTGGTAAACCTTCGCTTCTGATGTAAAACTAGAAGACCAAAGAGTGAAACCCCAGATACCAACAGTAGCTTCAGACGAACACAGAGGCAGGGCTATTAAAGGTATTGAACTGACATACACAATAGTGAGGTTGAAAGGCAATCAGAAAGTTGCCATGTTCATCGCATGAACATGAATGCGGGGGATGTTTTAAGAGGTGAAAAAGAAAGTAACTCCAAACCTGATAATTGTAGTCATTTTTCTGTGTAAGTTGGAATTGATAAGTCCCTCATCTCCACTCCTGTTGTTTTTACCCAAATAAATAATGCAGCTGAAAGCTGTTTGATGGGATAAGAGTATACTGCTAAAACAGGAAAAATCTGTCAGGGCAGAAGTGGTGGGAGGTCAGGAATTTTTAAAAGGCATCATTAAAGAAATGATGTGGCTTGGGGTATGTTCCTAAGGTAATGCAGTGCATCCTTGGTCAGGAAATTCTTTTGACTGATAAATCTTATTCTATTTTATATGAGCCTAAGATTATTAAATTCATTTTATATATCAAACAAGTTTAGGGTCGATAAAATATATTTCTGAAAACTAAGCAGGAAATGGCAGTCTCGTGGTTAGAGTATTGATGGAGGGCCAGGAGTTTATTTTCACCTCCACCACAAGTTCATGACTCATGTGATCTAGGCAAAATAGTAGATTATTTCTCTTCTCCTTCCTCCACCTGAAAACAAAACAAAAACAAAAACATCGACTTTTTCACCCTTCCAAAGCCCTTTTCCTATTCATCCTTGCTTGCTTCTCTTGTTTCTCCGTTTCCTTTTCTTTCATTTATAGGCCAACCCCAAAGTTTAAGGAGATTGTGGCAAGGTATAAGTCAGACAGGTATTCTTTTCAGATCTTTTAAAACCATAGTATCACAGCAACAACTCTAAAAAAAATGACACAGACAGAACAAACCCGAATAAAAAGTTTGAAATAGATATATTTGACTTTTGCTCAGAATGAGCACAAGGGTTCTGAGAGAGGAGCTGAGGATCCCTAGAACCAGGTGCACAAAAAATATTCTAAAGAATTTCTTCTGAAATCTCAATAGGAAGTCTTCGAAGGTGCCACTGCTCCTAGTATGGGATTACTTCTTAGACTCAAGAGAAAAAATAAATATTAGAAAATAATTATCAAATGAAATACTCCCTGGGCTCAGGATACTCTGGTGCAGCCTGTGTCTATAATTAGGCAAGTAAAACAAATCATGGCAAAATTACTTTAGATTTGTTAAAACCATGTTGGCATTAGTGAACATTTTTACAAGACATGAATTATTTTTATTTTTTAACTGCTTTCTTGATAGTTCAAATGTTTCATTATTTTCTCCCTTACCAGGTTATACACATCTACAAGCAAGGACTGGATGTTCTATGTCATGGATCTCCCAAAACCCCTGGCACCATTGGTTGACGGTCCAAAGTATTTGACTTGCTAAAGAATCTTTCCCTCCTAGAAGTATAAAATTCTACTTTATTTTCCCTATAAAAACAAACAAAATAACTATATATATATGCTGATATTGAACCAGAATTACAAATAATTTGTAATGTCAGATATTTAAATTCTACCTATTTTATAATATTTATTTCACAAAAGTCACAAGACTCACTATGTTATACAATAGAGTTTTCAGAATCACTTTACAGAATCTTCTTTTTTGATTTCTATGTAACAATTGCTATTTTACATTAGCTCTAGTTTGAAACATATAACCTGTAATTTAAATATATAATTGTAAAAGTCCCTTTGCTTGTTTATGAATGTAGGTCATAATGCCAAATATATCATGATTAGTTATTTCCATTTATTGAAATTCCTGGGTTTGTCATAGATAGCTCTTATTATTTTGAGATACATCCCATCAATACCTAATTTATTGAGAGTTTTTAGCATGAAGGGCTGTTGAATTTTGTCAAAGGCCTTTTCTGCATCTATTGAGATAATCATGTGGTTTTTGTCCTTGGTTCTGTTTATATGCTGGGTTATATTTATTGATTTACGTATGTTGAACCAGCCTCGCATCCCAGGGATGAAGCCCACTTGATCATGGTGAATAAGCTTTTTGATGTGCTGCTGGATTTGGTTTGCCAATATTTTATTGAGGATTTTTGCATCGATGTTCATCAGGGATATTTGTCTAAAATTCCTTTTTTTTGTTGTGTCTCTGCCAGGCTTTGGTATCAGGATGATGCTGGCCTCATAAAATGAGTTAGGGAGGATTCCCTCTTTTTCTATTGATTGGAATAGTTTCAGAAGGAATGGTACCAGTTCCTCCTTGTACCTCCCGTAGAATTCGGCTATGAATCCATCTGGTCCTGGACTTTTTTTGGTTGGTAAGCTATTAATTATTGCCTCAATTTCAGAGCCTGTTATTGGTCTATTCAGACCTTCAACTTCTTCCTGGTTTAGTCTTGGGAGGGTGGATGTGTCAAGGAATTTATCCATTTCTTCTAGATTTTCTAGTTTATTTGCATAGAGGTGTTTATACTATTCTCTGATGGTAGTTTGTATTTCTGTGGGATCGGTGGTGATATCCCCTTTATCATTTTTTATTGCTTCTATTTGATTCTTCTCTCTTTTCTTCTTTATTAGTCTTGCTAGTGGTCTATCAATTTTGTTGATCTTTTCAAAAAAGACACATGCACACGTATGTTTATTGCGGCACTATTCACAATAGCAAAGACTTGGAACCAACCCAACTGTCCAACAATGATAGACTGGATTAAGAAAATGTGGCACATATACACCATGGAATACTATGCAGCCATAAAAAATGATGAGTTCATGCCCTTTGTAGGGACATGGATGAAGCTGGAAACCATCATTCTCAGCAAACTATCGCAAGGACAAAAAAACCAAATACCGCATGTTCTCATTCATAGGTGGGAATTGAACAATGAGAACACATGGACACAGGAAGGGGAACATCACACACCGGGGCCTGTTGTGGGGTGGGGGGAGGGGGGAGGGATAGCATTAGGAGATATACCTAATGTTAAATGACAAGTTAATGGGTGCAGCACACCAACATGGCACATGTATACATATGTAACTAACCTGCATGTTGTGCACATGTGCCCTAAAACTTAAAGTATAATTAAAAAAAAAAAAAAGAAGAAATTCCTGGATGGAAGGGTGTCAGAGACAATGAGCCACTAATTACATCTGAGCCTCAATGGTTTATTGGAGTGTTCCCTATGGCACTTAAAATATCCAGCGCAGAATTTGGGATTGACTACTCACAATTTATATTGTTATCTATTGTTCATGGACGGATATTGTTTTCTGACATAGATGGCAAAGCCCTTGACTGTAGCAACCATAGCTTCTTATATAATCAATAGCATTTAACACGAGAGGTAAAAGCCATCTCATTTAATCCAAGATTTCACAAACCAAAGAGTATAGTTGATTGGTAAAATATAACATTTTTTTAACCTCATACTTGTGGAAGGAAAATAAAAACCTGAGACCCCAATTCACTAAGCCAAAAAGAAAAAATTAAGCTGAGTCATGCAAGACGCTACCTTTTCTTTTGTTTCTAAGCAGATAGCTACAGATAAGAGGTTAAATATCTCCACAGGTAAGTACTCTATGTTCACCTTAAATTATGTAAAGTGCCAATTTACTGAGCTTGAGAGGAATACATGACTGACTAATTCCCCACCTGCTTCTTTTCTCTTGCAACATGTGGATGACCATACCCTCCCCCTTTCCCCTCTAGCCTGCTTTTCCCCTTTAAATATTGAAACTCTCAGAATCATCTTTGGAGAAAGGCACAGACCACAGACTGTTTCTGTGATTCAATGCTCTTTTCTTCCAGGCATGTCCTTAAACTTGGCAAAACAAACTTATAAATTGACTGAGACCTGTCTCAGATAATTTTGGCTTACATACTAGTAAAATTTGTGTGTGTGCATGTGTGTGTGTGTGTGTTTAGCTAGCTAATGATACATGCTAAAGACTTCTAGGTGCAGAGTAGGAAGATTTTGCATTGGTTTTTTAAACGAATCTGTTAGTCACTTATTTTAATTGTTAGTTGCAATTCCTTACATGAAGAGAAATGCTTTCAAAATATATTTCTGATTCATTAAGAAAATGTTCACCTCTTGCCTACTGACTTGCCATTAGGAACAGTGTGGTCATTATTTACGTGTCACAAGGTTGGTAAGCAAAATTAACCTCTAATAAAAAAAGTGTTTACAATGTTAAGGGAGCAAATACAATTCTCTAAAACAGGTTGAAGGACATTCTAACTAATGTCTCAGTGATTCAAGTCAATAGCAGTTGGAAAATAACTATTAAAATAAACTCGATATCACAAGAAAATGTTTGTTTTTTACTCAAAAATAGGCTGAAACTTTTATGATGACAATAAATAGATGAGCTATAGATATGACAAATTGTATGGCAATAGGTACATAAATTTTTCTTAAAACTAAAACTAAAATTTTTAATTAGGCAGCCTTGCAATTTATGGTATATGAATTTAACTACAGTTTTATTCATTATTGTATCAAGGACTCGGTGAGCTATAATAATAGATTTTTACATGATATGTTCTTCAGTTTCTCAAGATGTTGTCACAGGTAGCCACACTTTTTCACTCATTCTACATCTAACTCATGCGTCTAAGGATGCATGAATAAAGGATGCTAGTTGCTACTAATAGCCATCCTGTGACCAAGAGGAGAATCCGCTCCAGAAGCCAACTAACACAGTGACTGTCAGAGCAAAGAGAAAAATACAAACTAGATCTGTGATAATCTTGTGAGCTAATT